>NC_000001.11:244365939-244517454 GCF_000001405.40 Homo sapiens
GGTCCTCTATGGCACAAGAATAACAAGCCCTAGATCTGTCTTGTTGTGCTAAATTTGGTATCAGATGACAGTCCGTAAATCCTAACCCCACTCCCCCTTCACCACCTCGACGGGTCTGCAGCAGTGTAGTAGCTATAAATTTGTGACAGCAACCTCACACCATGACATGGGGGTCAGCCTCCTGTAGCCCCGTTGGCTTTGTGGCTTTGAGCAAGCCTCGTGTTTAGTTTATTTTATTTTTATTTATTTATTAGAGACAAAGTCTGGCTCTGTTGCCCAGGCTGGAGTGAAGTGGCTGGATCATAGCTCAGTCCAACTTCAAACTCCTGGGCTCAACTGATCTTCCTGCTGCCTTAGTCTCCTGAGTAGCTAGGGCTACAAGCTGCCTGGCTAATTTTTAAATTTTTTGTAGAGACCAGGTCTCACTATGTTGCCCAGACTGTCTGGAACTCCTGGCCTCAAGCAGTCCTCCCACTTGGTATCACAAAGTGTGGGATTATGGGTGTGAGCCACAACACCCAGCCTCATGTTTATTTTAATATTGAGTTATTTTAGCCATGTTTGGTCAACAAAAGAGAAGTCCTTCTTCCAGAAACTACAGAAGGAGTGAATGGATGGATGTGTCCTTCCTGGCTACATCTTAAGAATTTTCTTTTAAGACCTGATGCAGTGGCTCGTGCCTGTAATCCCAGCACTTTGGGAGGCCAAGGCGGGTGGATCACTTGAGGTCAGGAGTTCGAGACCAGCCTGGCCAACATGGTGAAACCCTGTCTCTACTAAAAATACAAAAATTAGCCAGGCGTGGTGGCACACACCTGGAATCCCAGCTACTCGGGAAGCTGAGGCAGGAGAATCGCTTGAACCCAGGAGGCAGAGGTTGCGATGAGCCGAGATCGCACTACTGCACTCCAGTGTGGGCAACAGAATGAGACTCTGTCTCAAAAAAAAGAAAGAAAGAAAAACTAAACAGATAGAATAATTGGAAGTTGTGATAAAGGAAATGAAAAAGGGTGTGAGGGAGAATAATCAGGTGGAGAGGTAGGCAGAAGGAGAATACCTTCTCTAGCCAGGGTGTTCAGGGAACAGCTCTCTCAGCAGTTGTCAGCCGAGCATGATGCTGGGTGATAGGGGCAGGGGGTGGGAGAAGGGTGCGGTCTAGGGAGGAGGAAGTGCAGGTCCAAAATCCCTGATTCATGAAAGAAGCCATGACATGATGACACAGGGGCTGGAGCTGGGAGAAGGTTGGGACGGTAGAGGCAGGAGAAGTTCCCGGAGGGCTTTGTGGCCTACAATAGTGAGTCTGGGTTTTATGCTATTATACATGCAATGGGTTGAAGGGTTTTATGCAATGGAGGGCCCTGATCCGATTTACTTTTATGAAGCTCACTCTGAGAACAGATTGTCTGAGGACAAGAGTGGGGGTTATTGCAGAGAGCAGGGGGAGGCAATGGTGAGCTGGACCAAGGGGTGGCCGTGGGCTGGAGAAGCCGTCCCATGGGAGATCCAGCCTGGAGGGGGAATGCACGGACTTGCTGATTGGACCCACAGGTCAGGAGAGGCACACAGAGCTGCCTCACGGTGCGCACTATGGGCGGAGGGTGGGGGCAACAAGACTAGTTCAGGTGCAGGAAGAGCCGGAGCCGTCAGTGTGCCCCCCAACCCACGTGCGGCTCGGAGGACAAGCCCCAGAGAGCAGAAGACAGCCCAGCCTTAGGCCTCCAGGGGCCCCAGGGCCTGCTGTGCTCAGTTCCACCCAAACCCCCGGACTCCCGGCCAGGTCCAGACACCACAGAGCACTAGGCAGGAGTGGCCAATGGAGGTTTGTTTCCATTTTCCCCAGATAAGACCACAGTTAAATAGGCCTCTCAGTGAACAAAACAGATCTCAAACACACACAGAAAGAGCAAACGCTGTGGGGAGACAATCAGGAAATACTGGAGCCAACTCCATTCCTCTCTCCCCTGCTTCCTCCTCATCCGGGTTTCAGGAAGGAAAGGTTTTTGGTTTTTTGTTTTGTTTTGTTTTGTTTTTGTTTTTTTGAGACAAAGTCTTGCGCTGTCACCCAGGCTGGAGTGCAGTGGTATGATCTTGGTTCACTGCAACTTCTGCCTCCTGAGTTCAAGTGATTTTCATGCCTCAGCCTCTCGAGTGCTGGGACTACAGGCGCCCACCACCACACCTGGCTAATTTTTTATTTTTAGTAGAGACAAGGTTTCACCATGTTGGCCAGGCTGGTCTCGAACTCCTGACCTCAAATGATCCACTCAACTTGGCCTCCCAAAGTGCTGGGATTACAGGCTTGAGCCACTGCACCTGGCCTACTTTATCTGTTTCTTTATATCCTGCCTGTCTCACCCCCTGGAATAATAATGGTAAACACTTCTGAAGCTCTTACTCTGTGCCAAGCACTGTTCTAGGTGCATCTGAACTCCTTTAACCTTCACTACTGTGAGTTTCATATGAGGAAACCAAGGCACGGTGTGGTTAAATGACTGCCCCAGATCCCACAGCTACTGACTGGCGGACATGGGACTTAAACTCACGTCTGTGCTTGTGGTCACTGCATTTTGCCACATCTCCAGGTTAGCCCTCCAGGCAGGGCTTACTTCCCTTTCTCTGCAACTCACTATCATGACCTCTGCCTTGCAGATTACCATTCCTGGTAGGCCCTGTAGGCACGGTTGTTGAAAATATTGAAATGAATGAGTGAGCAAAGTTATCCAATCGTTTATGTGTGGTGTGTACCCCTGGTGACTGATGGCACCTGAGCCTGCCCTTGTGTGGTTCTGCACAAGCATGTATCCAATTCATCCTTAAATGGCCAAGCCTCAGAGCTACGCTACAGAAAACTGAGGTTTTGGGACACTAAATAAAAGTAAATATTAAATGGTTCACACTTAGTAGTGGCCACATAAAATTCTTGTATTCATCATCATATTGGCCGGGTGCGGTGGCTGACGCCAGTGATCCCAGCACTATGGCAGGCGAGGCAGGCGGATCATGAGGTCAAAAGATTGAGACCATCCTGGCCAACATGGTAAAACCCCGTCTCTACTAAAAATACAAAAAATTAGCAGGGCGTGATGGCACACACCTGTAGTCCCAGCCTCTCGGGAGGCTGAGGCAGGAGAATTGCTTGAACCTGGGAAGGCAGAGGTGGCAGTGAGCCAAGATTGCACCACTGCACTCCAGCCTGGCGACAGAGCCAGACTCCGTCTCAAAAAAAAAAATCATATTATATGCAACTGTTTACTGGTGCCATCCCCTGGCTACAGGCTGGAGGCCTGTCACTCAGAGAAGGGCTGGGTGTGGCATTGGTTTGTGGAACCCAGGATACTCCTGAAAAGATCACTTTAAGTGGATTAAATTCAGTGTGTTGTAGAAGATCGAAGATACAGAATTTGTGTGTGATTTAAATAGACTTTTAAAACTTTGATCGAAACAGTCTCTGAAGATCCAGAGGCAACTGTGTGGTCAGCCCATCCTGCGTGGGATGATATTGGAGCAGCGTCATTTCTCTGGGGTACAACCCGTGGTTCATTGCCACACGCCAAAGAAATCAAGGACGTGAACACACAAGGAGTGAGGTTAAGAGCGGAGGTTTAATAGGCTAAAGAAAGAGAAAATCTCTCTCTTACAGAGAGAGGGAGTCGCAGTGGGTCTTCTGGTCCCTGGTGAAGTGCAGGTTTTATAACCGAGCTTGAGGAGGTGGTGTCTGATTTACATAGGGCACGAAAGATTGGTTGGACCAGGTGTGCCATTTGCATAACGTGAGAAGAACTGGTTAGGACTAGGTGTGGTGTTTGCATAATGTGGGAAGAACTGGTTAGGACTAGGTGTGCTGTTTGCATGGCACGTGAAGAAGCTGGCCGCCCCACCCTAATCTTTTATTATGTAGATGGGTTCTCTGCCTAGCCGGGTCACGTTCAGTTGCCTGTTTTTGTTTGTACTATACACGTGGTGACAGAGAAAGGGGAAGATGGCGCCTCCATGTTGAACATGCTGGCCCTCAGGTAGCCCTTTTCTATGGGCACAGCTGCCAGCATTCACCCACACAAGTTTCCAGCTTGCTTATTCATGTCTGCAGCATGATTTTACAGGCTACTCTTTGTTAGAAAATAAATGACTTTGGGGCTGCTTTTTGTTAAAAGGGAAATTCCGCCGAGGACTCTGTTGCCCTTTCCATCTGCCTAAATAATTTCCATCTCCTGTATCAATACCAACACCTTGGGAGATGTTAGCCACCAAGTACAAATGTCTCGTTTACTCTCATGCAATCATTAAAGGAGAAGACAGTATCATTCCCATTTTACTGATGAGGAAACTGAGGCTCCCCACTCCCTTGAGGAGATTCTTGTGGAGCCGGCAGAGCCTGGGAGATGAGGGCACAGGTCTGGAGGCTTCCTAGTCCTTCCTTTAGTTCTGTCTTCTGGACTTACTAGCTCATGTCCTTAGCTAAGTTATTTACTTCCCCTGAGCCTCAGTTTCTTATCAGGCGTAGCACTCACCACATCGTCTGTGATTAGATAGTTGCCTAAACGTGGCTTTCCTGACCAGATTATGAACTCTTGAGTGGAAAGACAACATTGTCATCACTGTATCCCTAGTGCCTAGCCCACTGGAGGCACAGCAGAGCTTGCAGTGAGTGCTTTTCGTTGAGTTAAAAGCATCTTCCAGCTAACACTGCTGTGTCTTTATGGCTTTTCCTATTTTTTAGTGTACAATGTCTATTTGCTGTCTGCCCCAAAATGAGAGAATCACAGAGTTTGTATGAAAATAGCACTGAATTCTTATTAAAACAAATCATCACACATACCCTCGGGTGGCAGAATAGCGACATGGAGTTTGGAGAACTGGGTTTGATACACGGCGCTGGCATTTACTTGTTTAAGTGGACTTTACTACTTAAAAAGTCCACTTAACCCTTCTGAGACTTGGGCTATTCTTATAAAGCAGAGAGTTAATCATGTTTACCTTGCAAGGTGACTGTGAGGATTAAGTGAGATCATTTCTGTAAAAATGCTCTGTAGAGGATGAGCCCCAGCAGGGCCGTAACAGAGAAGAGCGTGGTCACAGGAACACAGGCTACCTGGGGCTGTGGGGCCAGGCTCTGGAGGGACCGACACCTCTGGCCTCTCCTATAGATATTGAATTTTGACTGTGGCTAAGCCCAGATCCCACTCCATTTACAGCCACCCTCCCAGGGAACAGGTTTGCTCTCATGTGGACTGAATACATCACCTCAAAAAGCCAAGCCATCAGGGACTCAAAATCACGCACGGTGCCTGCACCTGCCCAGTGAGAAGGAAAGGGCTTTCTACAGCTGGTTAAAACCCGGGTTCAACAGAATCACTCTGAGCAGAGCCCTGAGCTGGGCTGGCCTCCACAGCCAAGTCTGAAGAGTCCGCACGTGCTTTCACAATCATTCACTGAGGCCGGGTAATGCACAGCCTCTGGCCTGGCTAGACATTTCCCCTTAGGAGGTCAAAACTCTCTTCTCCACCCAGCCATCCCTCTCTCCACACCCATCTCCTTACACACACCTTCCCATTTTCTTTTCACTCCTCCCAAAACCTGCCAAGAGACACTGCCAAGGGGCGGTGGCAGGGAGGATTACTTGGTGCTGGTGCTGGGATTCTTTATCCTCAAATCAGCTTTTACTGACTGCTTCTAAGGAGCAGCGCTGAGTTTACTCACCTGTATTCAGCAGGTGTTTGTTTGTATGCACGCCATGGTCAAAACCCAGCCCACCGCCCACAGCCCAGCAACTGTAGAAACCAGCATCCTTTAGGTGGGTTCTTAAACTGTAATGTGGCCCTGGGGTAATATTCCAAGGTGGTGCTTCAGAAAATGGATAGGTGCCTAAGAAAGCTACGTGTCCCACCCCTGTGCATTCAGAAATGTCATTTGTTCCCTTTATTGTGCCAGTTCCTCTCTCTTCTTATGACTTAATACCCCATTGTTATTTACCATCCAGGGCTCAGTCATATTATCCCAGCCACTGGGCAGGCCCAGACAGCCTGTGGTTTTTCTGCAAATCAGAGCTCCCAGAGGTCGTCTTTGCACAGACAGAGACAGAACTCGCCCTGCTCAGTGCTTGCCTTTCATGCTAGACAGTCAGGCCCACTCTAGCCCTCATACACTCCACTCAGAACCTAATTCTGTCCATGTCTTGGCCCCTATAATTCCCTTTGCTTGGAATCTCTTCCCCAACCCCTTTGCTTATCCGAGTCCTAGATCTAGATACTCCTCCCTCTTCTGTGTCCTATGGACCCTTTATTCAGATCACTATTTCAGCATGTGAAGAGCTTTTTGAGGACAAGCGCTGCTTCTTAGTCAGCTTTGTATCTGCAGAGCCTAGCATAGTGCAGGGTGTTTTGTGTGCATTCAATAAATGTTGGTTGAGTCGAACTGAAGGCATAGTTTCAGTTTTCATCCATTATCTAACACATATTTAGTGAGATACGTTATGCAAAATGATGTGCTACTTTCTACTGACTCTGAATTTTTTTTTTTTTTTTTGAGATGGAGTCTCACTCTGTCCCCCAGGCTGGAGTGCAGTGGCACGATCTCAGCTCACTGCAAGCCCCACCTTCCAGGTTCACACCATTCTCCTGCCCCAGCCTCCCAAATAGCTGGGACTACAGGTGCCCGCCACCACACCTGGCTAATTTTTTGTATTTTTAGTAGAGACTGGGTTTCACCGCGTTAGCCAGGATGGTCTCGAACTCCTGACCTTGCGATCCGCCCGCCTTGGCCTCCCAAAGTGCTGGGATTACAGGCGCGAGCCCAGCCTCCTGACTTTGAATTTTTATGGCATCTACTGACTGCTCAGAATCTGTGGGACATCCCGAAAGACCCCACATGTCCAGGCATCACAAACTCAATAAAGTCACCTTCCCAATGATGGCCATTTATTGTGTTCCCTCTCTTGGGGAAAGGCAGGATTCTTTCCAATGCCTGAAGATGCAGCTTTGTCTTGGACACTTCCCTGTCTTTTACCCTCCATCCTATCTCCTAAAATATCCTCAATCAGCCCTATCCTCTCCATCCACATTTCCATCATATCAGAGCTTCGTCATGTCCCACATAAAGCACTACAATCACTTCCTAAGCAGTCTTTCTGCTTTTAGTCACATGGTCTTCAAATTTGTTTTCTGGCTGGGTGCAGCGGCTCGCACCTGCAATCCCAGCACTTCGGGAGGTCAAGGCGGGAGAATCACTTGAGCCCAGGAGTTCCAGACCAGGCTGGGCAACATAATGAGACCCTGTCTTTTAAAAAAAATGGTTTTCCACATTGCCATCAAAAAAGATCTTTCTCTACCATGTCATGAACCTTGTTAAACATCTCACAAAGTAGCCTGGGCAACATAGTGAAACTACAAAAAAAAATTATATATATATATATATGCATGCCAGGCATATGGTACATGCCTGTAGTCCCTCCCAGCTACTTAGGAAGCTGAAACAGGAGGATCTCTGGATCCCAGGAGTTAGAGGCTACAGTGAGCTATGATCACACTGCACTATAGCCTGGGCAACAGTGAGACTCCATCTCTAAAAGCAAACAAAACAAACAACAGCAAACCTCACAAAGATTCCTATCACCTCCATCAGTAGTTCTCAAACTTTCAGACACAATACCCCCTTTTTAATAATAGATATTTTGTAATATCTCTGCTATTCTTCTGAAATAAAATCTGTAAATAATATAAACCAACCACATATAATTTAAAAATATTAGGTTGGTGCAAAAGTAATTGCAGTTTTTGCCATTGAAAGTAAAGTCATAGCAAAAACCGCAATTACTTTTACACCAACCTATCTCATTACAGTCTTATAACTATAATATAAAAGGAAAAGCAATGTACTATAAAATGAGACATATTTCTGGCCGGGTGCAGTGGCTCATGCCTGTAATCCCAGCACTTTGGGAGGCCAAGGTGGGCGGATCACTTGAGGCCAGGAGTTTGAGACCATCCTAGCCACCATGGTGAAACCCATCTCTTCTAAAAATACAAAAATTAGCCCGGTGTGGTGGCAGGCACCTGTAATTCCAGCTACTCGGGAGGCTGAGGCAGGAGAATCACTTGAACTCAGGAGGCGGAGGTTGCAGTGAGCTGAGATTGGGCCACTGCACTCCAGCCTGGGCGACAGAGTGAGACTCCGTCTCAAAATAAATAAATAAATACAATAAAATAAAATGAGATGTATTTTAAAGCATAAAACCTGAGCACCATTGCCCTCCAGCCTGGCCTCCCTCAGCCCCGTTGTATTCCACTTGTACCACCCACCCTTGTCCCACCTCTTCTTACGTTCACCCCACAGAAGTGCTCCCTCCCAGTCCCCACATGTTAGCTCAATGATGCTCCCAAAACTCCTCAAAATCCAGCCTCTAGACAGGGCTCGAGTCCCCCTCCCAGGCTTGCAAGCGCCTTGTGCTTTGACATCACAGTGCTGCTTCACGATTAGTCTTTACAGACTTATTTGTTACAGTTAAAAAAAAGATGAAATTTTGTAAACATCAAAAGTAGAAAAAACCAGTATAATGAGCTCCCATTTACCAATTCCCACATTTCTTTTATTATTTTTATTTTTATGTACTTTTTTCAGACAGAGCCCTCCGTTTACGGATTCCCACATTTCTCTTTTTTTTTTTTTTTTTTTTTTTTTTTGAGACAGGGTCTTGCACTGTTGCCCAGGCTGGAGTGCAGTGGCACAATCTCAGCTCACTGCAACTTCTGCCTCCCGAGTTAAAGCAATTCTCCTGGCGCAGCCTTCCCAGTAGCTGGGATTACAGGCATGTGCCACCACGTCCAGCTTTTTTTTTGTATTTTTAGTAGAGATGGGGTTTCACCATGTTGGCCAGGTTGGTCTCGAACTCCTGACCCCAAGTGATCCACCCACCTTGGCCTCCCAAGGTGCTGGGATTACAGGTGTGAGCCACCGTGCCCAGCCCGATTCCCACATTTCAACTGTTATCAACATTTGCCCCATTGGTTTTATTTATTTATTTCTTATTTTTTGTTTTTCTTTTCATTTAATTTCATTTTATTCCAGAAATAGGCTTGCCCACCCACTGGTTTTATATATCCACTTATTAATTTTTTTCCTAACGTTTTGAACCTAATACCTGATATGTTACATATTTCCTTATGAATCCTGAACATAAATAACATTTTATTACAGATGCGGGAGGTTGTGGTGGGAGGAGGGAGGCCTGCGAGGCCCATACACTCAGCTATGGTAGAAAAGGGCTGGTTATGCATGAAAAAGACCCTTATCAGGAAATTCCATGGGTTTTAGGGGCTCAGTGCCAGAAACTGGGGACAAAGACCAAATACGTTTTGTATTATGCCGCAGCTGGCATTCTTCTGGAATGAACTAATTGTAAGAATGGCTTTCTTCTCACCTCCTCACTTTCTGCTCTAGTATATTCATCGCTCACCAAGGAAGAGACGTTCAAGGCTATTACCCTGGGCAGCTGGCAAGACTCCATTTTGATCATAGTGCAAAGAGAGCTCCCAGGTGAGACACCTCCTCAATCCCAATGTCCAAGAATGTCACGAAAGCTACAATGATAAAAAGGGGTCGGCGGGGGGAAGATACACTACTCCTCATAATACTGATGATAGCAAAAATAATAATGGATAGAAGAGGTTTGCAAGAAAATATACCAAACTGTTAATGTTTTTTTTTTTAATGAGTGGTGAGATTATTCTTATTTTATATCTTGCTGTTTTGAGAAAAGGTATTGCTCTGTTGCCCAGGCTGGAGTGCAGTGGCGAGATCTTGCCTCACCACAACCTCCACCTCCCAGGTTCGAGCAATTCTCATGCCTCAGCCTCCCCAGTAACTGAGACTACAGGCACACGTTACCATACCCAGCTAATTTTTTTGTATTTTTAGTAGAGATAGGGTTTCACCATGTTGGTCAGGCTGGTCTCGAACTTCTGGCCTCAAGTCATCCGCCCACTTTGGCCTCCCAAAGTGCTGGGATTACAGGCATGAGCCATTGCACCCAGCCCATAGGCACTTTGACCTTATTTTGTGTTATGGGAGACATTCTTTTGTAGGAAAAGGAGTACTCTCACCCATCATTCAAGGCACCTACTTTACAAGGTCAGGTACCTGTTAAGCATGAAATAAGAACAAGCAGAGGTGGGTGGGTATTCTCAATGATTCTTCAGGCCCATCCACAACAGAGCACCTTCCCATCATCCAGCATCTCTCCCCATTCAGTACCCCACGAGCACGGTCAGATTCTTGTTCTTGCTTTTTCTGAACGTCAGGCACAGCCTCTCCATTTCTGCTAACACACTCTTTCTTAAAGAAGGCCCATCACAATCAAGGTTACCCCATCAGGCAAACATAACTGATGATGAAGCAGTCTTAATCTCCCCTCTAAGTGTGATGAGTTCACAGCGATATACTCACAGAAGGCTACTCACTCGTTTAGATTTAGATGTTCCTAAATCTCAGCCAACACTTAATATTTTTCACATCAACAGCAGCTCATCTCATCTATTTTATAGTTTAAAAACATAAACGTTTATGAGAACATTTAGAAAACATTCACAGTCAAAAATGGAATGATTGAAAATTACCCACAATATCATCACCCAGAGATAATCCTGCAGAATCATCCAGATCTACATCAAAGTGGGACGGGATGGGTATTTCGAAACCTTTTTATTTTTATTTTTGGTAATAGCTGCATTGAGATAATTCACATACCATACGATTTATCCATTTAATTCAATTGAATGAATTCAATTCAATTCAATGCATAATTCAATTGAAACCTTTGTTTAAACTTAATGTATCGTGGACTTTTTTCCATTTCAAAAGTTATAATCCTATACTACAGCATCCCCCTTTTTTTTTTTAGATGGAGTCTCGCTCTTGTTGCCCAGGCTGAAGCGCAGTGGCGTGATCTCGGCTCGCTGCAACCTCTGCCTTTGGGTTCAGCGATTCTCCTGCCTCAGCCTCCCGAGTAGCTGGGATTACAGGCGGCCACCATCACGCTCGGCTAATTTTGTATTATTAGTAGAGACGGGGTTTCACCATGTTGGCCAGGGTGGTCTCGAACTCCTGACCTCAGGTGATCCGCCAACCTCGGCCTCCCAAAGTGATGGGATTACAGGCATGAGCCACTGCACCCAGTCGTACAGCATCACTTTATTTTTATTTTTTTTTTTTGAGACGGAGTCTCGCTGTCTCCCAGGCTGGACTGCAGTGGCGTGATCTCAGCTCACTGCAAGCTCCGCCCCCCGGGTTCACGCCATTCTCCTGCCTCAGCCTCCCGAGTAGCTGGGACTACAGGCACCCGCCACCATGCCCGACTAATTCTTTTTTGTATTTTTAGTAGAGATGGGGTTTCACCGTGTTAGCCAGGATGGTCTCGATCTGACTTCATGATCCGCCTGCCTCGGCCTCCCAAAGTGCTGGGATGACAGGCGTGAGCCACCACGCCCGGCCACAGCATCACTTTTAATGGTGGCATGGCATTCCCACATATTTCTGCGTCATTGTCTAAATAATTTCCTATTTTTTTACATGCAAGTTGTCCCACTCTTTTTATTATCATAAAAACACTTTGACAAGCATTCTTAGAGCTAAGTCTTTGTTGACATCCTAATTGTTGGGATAAAATATGTGCAGATTTTCAAGGTCTTAATATATATCACCAAAGCTGGACCAGTGAAGGTATACTGCCACAAGCGATATTTTGCCACTACATTTTGGTTGTTCTTTGCTTTTCTTTTCCAAGGGATACCTATTTGAGTAGGGGTACAGGAAGGTTGTAATGATTTCAGGTCCATCAAACCCCAAGAGGCACATAGTGGTTAGTCTAACCAGTTGTATTGATTCCTATTTTATTTTATTTATTTCTTTGAGACAGGGTCGGGCTCTGTCACCCAGGCTCAGTCTCGGCTCACTGCAACCTCTGCCTCCTGGGCTCAAGGGATCCTCCCACCTGAGCCTCCCTAGTAGCTAGGACTACAGGTGTACACCCCCACGCCTGGCTAATTTTTGTATTTTTTTGTAGAGATGGGTTTTCACCGTGTTGCTCAGGCTGGACTTGAACTCCTGAGCTCAAGCGATCTGCCCCCATCAGCCTCCAAAAATGCTGGGATTACAGGCGTGAGCCACCACACCAGGCCTGCACTGGTTCCTTGAAGCAACAAACATCCGCAGAACAGTTACACTGGGAAAGGGCACCGGGGACCTCTGGAGCGCGGGGAGTGGCTGTGCACGGGTGGATCTAGTGGAGAGTGTGATACGCATCACCTCCTAGGACCTGTCATTGGAGAGGAGGAGGGATGCTAAAGGGAAGAACAGGGAACAGAAGTCCCTGAACCATCTACTGCAGCTTTGCCAGGGCTGGTCGCAGAGCTGTGGGAGTCTTGTCAATACTCTCTGTTAGCCTCACGGCCGTTTCCAGGGAATGGATTCCAGCTGACGAGAAAATGGACTGCTTTTTTCTACTGGCTTTTCAGCAAACTACTTCTATTTCCATTTAGACCGCTCATAGACTTGACAATTCCACCCAAGACAAAATATCACTATCAGCCTCAATTAGACCAACAAACACTCATTCGATATATTTGTCTTCGAAGACATTCAAAGCCTGCCGAGCCATGGTATAAAGAAACCACTTACCGACGAGACTATTCTCTGCCATTTTATGAGATTGGTAAGTCAGGCCAACTGCTCTTAACTCTCTGAGATTAACCTTGCCTGGGCCACAGATTAGCATCTCCTGTAGGCTTGCTGTCTCAGGGAGCCTGTTTGGGACCAGTCGAGTTGGAGGCATGGATATGTGTGTGTGTGTTTCTGGGGTGCAGGAAGAATTTAGGGGGCTTCCCAAGGCTCCCCGCTACCTAGTTCCCTGCAGAGGAGACTTCAGGGAGGATGGAAATGCATATATCCTTATTAACACACAGTCTCAAGTCTGACCACGCTTTCTTTTATCTTTTATTTATTTTTATTTTTATTTTTTTGAGACGGAGTCTCGCTCTGTCACCCAGGCTGGAGTGCAGTGGTGCGATCTCGGCTCACTGCAAACTCCGCCTCCTGGGTTCACTCCATTCTCCTGCCTCAGCCTCCTGAGTAGCTGGGACTACAGGCGCCGCCACCACACCCGGCTAATTTTTCTGTATTTTTAGTAGAGACGGGGTTTCACCATGTTGGCCGGGATGGTCTCGAACTCCTGACCTCATGATCCGCCCGCCTAAGCCTCCCAAAGTGCTAGGATTACAGGCTTGAGCCACTGCGCCCGGCCTTTTTTTTTTTTTTTTTAAATTAGAGACATGGTCTCGCTATGTTGCCCAGGCTGGTCTTGAACTCCTGGCCTAAAGCAATCCTCCTGGCTTAGTCTCCTAAGTGGCTGAGACTACAGGCATAAGCCACTGCACCCAGCTAATTGTTTAATTCTTTTTTATAGAGATGAGGGTCTTGCTTTGTTGCCCAGGCTGGCCTCAAACTCCTGGCCTCAAGCAATCCTCCTGCCTCAGCTTCTCAAAGTGCTGGGATTACAGGTGTGAGCCACCACACCTGGTTGACCACTCTTCACTGAGCCCCTTGTCACATGACAAAATCATTATTGTGCCTAAACATACTGTTAAGGGAACTTTTCTTATTCCCGATTTCAAACTTTATGACAATGATTTGACATTTGGAGGCATGTTTCAAAAATTCTAAGTTCCCCTTGTAATATGTGAGGCTGCAGCATGTAAAAAAATACTGAAAGGGGGCCAGGCGCAGTGGCTCATGTCTGTAATCCTGGCACTTTGGGAGGCCGAGGCAGGCGGATCACCTGAGGTCAGGAGTTCAGCACCAGCCTGCCCAACATGGAGAAACCCTGTCTCTACTAAAAATACAAAGTGGTGGTGCATGCCTGTAATTCCAGCTACTCGGGAGGCTGAGGCAGGAGAATCGCTTGAACCTGGGAGGCGGAGGTTGCGGTGAGCCGAGATCGTGCGACTGCACTCCAGCCTGGGCAACAGGAGCAAAACTGTCAAAAAAAAAAAAATACTGAAAGGGACTGAGGCTCCCCGACGTATAGGACCTTGGGGGAGGACATGTAGACACCAATTAAAGCATTGCTTGTGTTCCTGCTGTCATTGGTGCTTTGAATTTTAGTTCTTGGGATGAATTACTTCATTCACAGAGTTTTTCTTTTTTTTTTTTTTTTTTTTTTTGAGATGGAGTTTCACTCTGTCGCCCAGGCTGGAGTGCAGTGGCACCATCTGGGACCTCCACCTCCCAGGTTCAAGCGATTCTCCTGCCTCAGCCTCCCAAGTAACTGGGATTACAGGTATGCGCCACCATGCCCAGCTAATTTTTGTATTTTTAGTATAGACGGAGTCTCACCATGTTGGCCAGGCTGGTCTCGAACTCCTGATCTGAAGTGATCCACCCACCTTGGCCTCCCAAAGTGGTGGGATTACAGGCGTGAGCCACTGCACCTGGCCAACAGACTTTTAAAATGAGTAAACCTCAATATTTTGGAGGCTCTTACACTGTGGCAGGCACATATTTAGTCCTGAAAGCAGCTCCCTGAAGTAAAGTCCTACTATTTTCCCAATTTTACTGTAGGAAAAGCCAAGTCAGAGGCAGTTTATTAACTAGCCCCAGGTCACACAGCTAGGCGGTAGGAGAAGCAGAATTCAGCCCCAGGTCATTTCAAGCTGTGCTTGACTCAGAAGCTACAGAGCCTCTGTCACACCTGAGCGTCACCTGTACTATTATTTATTTAATAGTCTTCTTTAAAGAGTGTCTCTTTCCATTTACTTAAAATATGGAATGCCAAAGGAGATGGCCTGGGCTGGGCCCCTGGGTCCCAGGGAACAGCAAATGCAGCCATCAGGAAGATCAGGAAAAGGGAGGGAGAGGTGGATCTTGGGGGAGTTGAGCCAGGGGTAGGGGTGGCAATAGCCATGGGGGCCAGAGGTTGCCAGCAGGGGTTTGGGATGAGAGGCTTCAAGCAGGGCAAAGCTGGGTTCTGGAGGCTCCGAGACGACTGGAGCCTGATCACGGCGGGAGCTGAGGGGCTGGGGAGGAGGCTGGGGCTGAGGTCAAGGTCACTGGGAAAGGAGGTGCTGGGAGGGCGTGCAGAGTGGTAGGGGTTGCCGTCCCAAGGAGCCCTGGGGAGGGCTATGGCAATGGAAGCTGGGGATTAGCTTGACACGGGTTAGGGCTGAAGGATGTACGAGGCTTGGGGCAGTAGAAGTTGCTGGGGGCTGAGGAGGGGGCTAAAAAGAAGAGGTGGCCAGAAAGCATCAATGGGGTTCCGGTCCCCACAGAACTGGCTGAGCACGCTGTCCTTTCAAGACCAACTGGGAGTTTGAAAGCTGTTCCCTTTGCATAAGGAAATCTAGGTGCGCCTCCAGTTTCCAAAGTGACCTTCAACAGGACCTTCTTTGCAACTCCTCTGCTATGAGATCTCATAGACAGACAAACAGACACAAAAGGTGTTCTCCCTTGCTTAGTTTAGAAAACAGTTTTTAATTCTTTCCAAACCTATGGAGCTAAATAAATTTTAGCAAAGCAATGAAATACTCACCACCTGCTATGTATTGTGCCGGGACATAGAAAGTCCAGGAGATGATTTCAGTCCTGCAGGGAACTCACAATCCAGTTGGGAAGATGAGGCTTGGGAACTGACTAAATACCAAATAGAGGTGCAGGAGTTGAAAGATGAGGCCTGGCACAGTGGCTCATGCCTGTAATCCTAGCCCTTTGCAAGGCCGAAGCGGGAGGATCACCTGAGGTGAGAAGTTCGAGACCAGCCTGGCCAACATGGCAGAACCCCATCTCTACTAAAAATACAAAAATTAGCTGGGTGTGGTGGCACTCACCTATAATCCCAGCTACCTGGGAGGCTGAGGCAGGAGAATTGCTTGAACCCAGGAGGTGGAAGTTGCAGTGAGTTGAGGTCATGCCACTGCGCATGACAGTGACAGAGCAAGACTCCGTCTCAAAAAACAAAAACAAAAGCACACACTGTCACTTCTGATGTATCCTGTTAGTCACATACAGCCAGCTCTAAAGCAGTGTGCAGAGGATTACACAAGGCATGAATACCAGGGGGCAAGAATCACTGGGGTCCATGCTGGAAGCTGGTGACCCCAGTATGATTTAGTTGTTTGTTGAGCAACTGTTATGAACCAGACACTGCTATCTGCCGAATACAGTGACCAGGGAAGACAAGATACCTGCTTCCGCAGGGCTGACATTCTGGTGGGGGATATACAGCATAGCCAAGTGCATTTTTTTTTTTTTCAAATCATAGATTGTGGTAGTGCTATATGGGAAATAAGCAGGGAGATGAGGATAGCTAAAGGAAGTTACTTTAAATAGGGCAGTCCGGGAAAATGTCTATGCAATTTTAGCTAAGCCCTGAAAAATAAGAATGAGTCATATAAAGGGCATTTCAGGCAAAAGTAACAGTAAGTGCAAAAGCCTGGAAACTGGGAAGGGCTTGGCATATTTGAGGAATAGAAAGGAGACCAGTGTTGTTTGGTGGGTAACGAGTGAGAGTGATCAGACAACTGGATTTTATTCTACGAGCAATGGTAAGACATTGAAGGATTTTTAACAGAAGAGTGGCATCTTATATTTTAACGGCATTATTTGTATTACTCTGGCTGCTGTTTTTTTTTTTTTTTTTTTTTGAGACGGAGTGTTGCTCTGTTGCCCAGGCTGGAGTGCAGTGGCGCAATCTCATCTCACTGCAACCTCCACCTCCCGGGTTCAAGCGATTCTCCTGCCTCAGCCTCCCAAATAGCTGGGACTACAGGCGCGCACCACCAGGCCCAGCTAATTTTTGTATTTTTAGTAGAGGTGCGGTTTCACCATGTTGGACAGGATGGTCTCAATCTCCTGACCTCGTGATCTGCCTGACTTGGCCTCTCAAAGTGCTGGGATTACAGGCAAGAGCCACCGTGCCCGGCCCTCTGGCTGCTGTGAAGACACTGCTAAATGGAGGGGAAAAGTTTCTCAGGCAGACCACTGAGAAACAATTTAATAGGTTAGACCAGAGATGATGGTGGCTGGGACCAGCAGGGAAGATAAAGAGGAATAAATGGATTCCAGCGATATTTTGGGGGTGGCATCAACTGGACTTGGTGATATATTTGATATCAAGAACACTTTCACTTACCCACACATATTCCTTCAGGAAATAATTTGAGGGCCTATTTAAGTGCCAGTCAATGTGACAGCTTTTAGCCATACCACATGAAGCAAAAATAGACACAAGATTTCTACACTCAATAACCATGGATGGGTGTGGTGGTGCATGCCTGTAATCCCAGCACTTTGGGGGACCGAGGTGGGAGGACAGCTTGAGGACAGGAGTTTGAGACCAGCCTGGGCGACGCAGTGAGAACCCACTCCTACAAAAGAAATTTAAAAATTAACTGGGTGTAGTGGCCCCTGTGGTCCAAGCTACTCAGGAGGCTGAGTCAGGAGGACTGCTTGAGCCCAGGAGTTTGGGGCTGCATGAGGTATGATTATACTACTGCACTCCAGCCTGGGCAACATAGCAAGACCCCAACTCTAAAAAAATAAATAACCATAAAAGTCTACCTGCCTTAAATGCTATAAGGCAGAGTTTATATGGGGTTATAGGAGCATATAGTAAGTCAGAGAAAGCTTCCCTTAGGAAATGATGAGCCAAGAGCTGAAGGATAAGCTAAAAGTTAACTGGGCAGAGAGTGGGGAAACAGGTTCATAGAGAGTACAGCATGTGCAAAGGCCTTGTGGCAGGAAGGAGCATGACATGTTTGAGGAACTAAAAACAATAAGGGTGTGCTGGAGTATAGGAATCAGGAGGGATCATGGAGCAGGGTGCGGTGGAGGGATGGGAAGAAAGACCAGAGTATGAAAGACGTTACAGGTCATATTCAGGGTTTGGCCTCTAGTCTGAGAATAATGGGAAACTGTTGAAAAGTTTTAAGGAAGGCAGAAGTAATGATTACAATTTCATTTTGTGAGGGATAAAAGACTACAAATTGGGTTCAGTGTACACTGCTCGGGTGATGGATGTACCAAAATCTCACAGATCACCACTAAAGAGCTTACCATGTAACCAAACACCATCTGTTCTCCCCAAACCTATGGAAATAAAAAATTAAAAAAAATTCATTTTGAAAATGTTCCTCTAACTGTGGAGAAGAAAAGGAGGGGCAGGGTGGGGAGCAGCATGGGGCGAAGATTGAATGTGGAGAGTCAGGAGGAAATTGCAGTGGTTAAAGTTTTTTTCTTTTTTTGAGACAGGGTCTCACTCCCATTGCCCAGGCTGGAATGCAGTGGTGCAATCTCAGCTCACCGCAGCCTTGGCAGCCCAGGCTCAAGTGATCCTCCTCCCTCAGCCCCCTGAGTAGCTGGGACTACAGGCATGAGCCACCACACCCAGCTACTTTTTGTATTTTTTGTAGAGACAGGTTCTTACTATGTTGCCCAGGCTGGTCTCAAACTCCCGGGCTCAAGCAATCTGCCCACCTCAGCCTCCCAAAGTGCTGGGATTACAGACATGAGCCACCACACCTGGCCAGGTTAAACATTCTTAATTTTGGTTACATTGCTTGGAGTTTTAAAAAATCTGGACGCCCAGGCTATACCCAATACCAGTTAAATCAGGATCTCCGTGTGGGGCGGCAAAGTGGGGGTCCCAGGCATCAGTCATTTTTAAAACTCCCCAGATAATTCCATAGCGCAGCCAAGTTTGAGAAGCAGTGATTTAGGCAGCAGATGATGGGTGTTGGCAGTAGATTTAGATACATTTGAGAGATGCTTAGGTGGCAATGATTGTATAAACAACAATAGGCTGGCAAAGGGCTGGTCTGCAAGAGGCCTGACAAGCACTCCTTGAGGGAGTTTTTCACAGAATAAGAGAAAGAATATTAAGTTGTTTATCAAAGTATAGGCTGTTTATCCTAACCATTTGGCCAGTTTTTGTTTGTTTGTTTGAGATGGAGTCTCACTCTGTCACCCAGGCTGGAGTGCAGTGGCGTGATCTCAGCTCACCACAACCTCCACCTCCCAGATTCAAGAGATTCTTCTGTCTCAGCCTCCCGAGTAGCTGGGATTACAGGCACCCACCACCACGCCTGGCTAATTTTTGTATTTTTAGTAGAGACAAGGTTTCACCATCATGGTCTCGAACTCCTGACCTCAGGTGATCCACCCGCCTCGGCTCCCCAAAGTGCTGGGATTACAGGCATGAGCCACCGTGCCCAGCCTAGGCCAGTGTTTGATCAGATTTTCAGGGCAGAAGGTATGTCTAGATTAGCAAGGATTTACATTTATGTTCAGTTCTCTGAGGTGTCTGATTAAATATAGACCATGATAGATCATGGTTATTGCTTAAGAAATTCTTCCTCAGTTAAAATTATTTCTCAGCACATATAATTTCATTGATTTCCTTAGGAAACATTTTTTGGGCACTGACTATGTGCAAGACAGAGTGGAGGGTATGGAGAAGGCTCTGTCCTCAGAGAATTCATAGCCTGGGAGGATAAGATGGCCCCTCAGAGGAAAGTTACCCTTGTATTACTCACCCTGGTGCCAAATAATTCAAATAACTCATTTTTCCAAAATAAAATATATGCCTTTACCAACAGCGTGGCCCTTAGGCTCTCTGACCCTCAATATTCTCACCTGCGAAAAGCATAAAAATAGTATCTACCTAATAGAATTGAGATACCCATATAAAGAATGTAAGCATTGTGCCTGTATGTACTATTACTATGCCTTCAAAAATGTTAGTTACTATTAGTATTATTGATCAAGAATAATGTATGCCAGAATCAATATCTGTAAAATACTAATACAATGGAATTGCATATATCACTGAGATTAATTTCTAAAATCGGTGCACAAGGTAAAAATCATGCATGATCAAAGTAATCCTTGAAAAATATCTTAGACTGGCCAGGTGCGGTGGCTCACACCTGTAATCCCAGCACTTTGGGAGGCTGAGGTGGGTGGATCACCTGAGGTCAGGAGTTTGAGACCAGCTTAGCCAACATAGTGAAACCCCATCTCTACAAAACACACACACACACACACACACACACACACACACAAATTAGCTCACGCCTGTAGTCCCAGCTACTCAGGAAGCTGAGGCAGGAGAATTGTTTGAACCCCAGGAGGCGGAGGTTGCAGTGAGCCAAGATCGCACCACTGCACTCCAGCCTGGGCAACAGAGTGAAAATCCATCTCAAACAAACAAAAACTCTTGATTGTTAAAGAGTGATATTATATTAAATCATTAACATATTTGGAATACACAGAATCCTCAGCAAGGTGGTTAAAGTTTCTCTGTGGTTATCAACTAATTATTCATTTTATTTTCCAACAATGACTTTCAAAGGAGTCACCACCACAAATCCACATGAACAATAACTGCATTTTGTCTGATGATAAGGAAATCCAAAAAATCATTTCACACTTTCTTCTCATAGCATCCCCAATCTGTGTAGCACGTTTCAGGGTTGATAACACCCACTGTTCTCACAACATTGACTGTTGAGTTCACCTGGTTAAGTTGTGTATGATTCAACCCCATCGTACAGCCTGCAAGGATCATGAGGAGTTGCTGAATGGAATTCCTCACACTTCTAAATTACTTTAATACATTTCCAGAATATAGTGTAATTAGAAGGCCATCATTGCTATTTGACTCCATAAAAAAACTTGAAAAGTCATGTGGTTGCTGACTACAGACAGGATCACACTCGATTAAATCTAAAAATCCTCAAAGATCTCATTTCTAGTCATACTCCTTGGGTTAGTGAAATGTTATCCATTCTTAATATCCAGAAATGTTTATTTCTTGAGATACTGTTGAAGCACTAAGGAATGCAGACTAGAACAGTGAAAGATTAATGATTTTGGAGTCTGTTCTGTGTCAGATGTGGACTGCACCTCTTATAAGCTATGTATACTTGGGCAAATTAATCTTTTTGAGATGGCAATATCAGTGTACAACTGAGAATTACTCTGAATATTAATGTAATAAACTCTAATATTCACCTAATAATATAATAAAGTTTTGTTACAATGCAGCCGGGCGCAGTGGCTCACACCTGTAATCCCGCACTTTGGGAGGCCAAGGTGGGCGGATCACTTGGGGTCAGGAGTTCGAGACTAGCCTGGCCAACATGGCAAAACCCCATCTCTACTAAAATACAAAAATTAGCCAGGGGTGGTGGCGGGCACCTGTAATCCCAGCTACTTGGCTGAGGCAGGAGAATCACTTGAACATGGGAGGTGGAGGTTGCAGTGAGCCGAGATGGCGCCACTGCGCTCCAGCCTGGCCGACAGAGTACGACTCCGTCTGAAAAAAAAAAAAAAAGTTTTGTTACAATGCTTTTGAAACACTAGCCTTTGGTTCCTTGAGCAATAATTGTATTAAAGTGAAGCTCTCTTTGAACCCTTATTTTTAGATAAGCAAAATTGTTAATGATTATAGATTAGAGGTTATAAAATACAAGGGAACACCAATGGGTATGAATTTAGGAACGGCAGTATCACCCAAGGTAGGAGAGTGGGTGTAGACATGTGAAATCTCAAGTAAGACCAGTAGATTTTGAGTTCTGCCTCTGCCATTTCCTGGCTGTGTGGCCCTGGGCAATGTACTTGTCACTCTGTTGCTTCTGATAGCAAAAGGGATGGTGAAATAGATTCAAGTTGAAGAAAGATAAGGTGTAAAGTGTTTTCTTTGGCTGTTGTGTGGAGGTTGGATTACAGCAGGAGTGTAAGGAAGAGGAAAGGATATCAGTGTTTCAGGTGAAGTCCAGGTGGCCTGGACCAGGGTGTGATGGGGGAGTGAAGAGAAGTAGGAAGTGAAAATTAATTGGATTTGGTTGGTGAGAGAGTGGTCAAGGGTGACTCCCAGGTTTCTAGTTTGTGTTATTATAAGTAACACAAAAGAATGGATGAACTTCATTGATTTCTTTGCTTTTCTCTTTTTTTTTTTTTATTTTTGAGACGAAGTTTCACTCTTGTTGCCCAGGCTGGAGTGCAATGGTGCGATCTTGGCTCACTGCAACCTCCGCCTCCCGGGTTCATGCAATTCTCCTGCCTCACCTTACCGAGTAGCTGGGATTACAGGCACCTGCCACCACGCCCGGCTAATTTTGTGTATTTTTAGTAGAGATGGGGTTTCACCATGTTGCCCAGGTTGGTCTCGAACTCCTGACCTCAAATGATCCACCCGCCTCGGCCTCCCAAAGTGCTGGGATTACAGGCTTGAGCCACCACGCCTGGCCTATTTTCTATTTATTGTGATATCTATCATACCTGCAAAAAATATTTTGTATATATTCAATTTAAAGAGTAATAATAAAATACTTATTTATTCCTTAGGTCAGTTGTGAAAAATAATTCCCTAATATACTTAAAGCCTTTGAGTCCCCCCATCCTTCCCCCCAGACGTACTCTCTATTCTGAATTTGTGTTAATCTTGCCTTTGCTATTGACTGTTTTTACCATATACGTATCTATTCCTAAATAACATAGTGATTGATTTTGTATGGTTTTGAACTTTGTTTATTCTGTTTGGAGTTCATTGAACTTTTCTAATCCAAAGGTTTATAGTCAATAAAATTTGAAAAAACAAAGAAACCTCTGAAAAAAGAGAAAAAAATAATTTAGGGATGGCAATGAGTACAATTTGATACAAAATAATGCACTGATAATGTACGACTAAAAAGGTTTGGGGGTACAGAATGAGATGTCGACATGCAAATTTATGTAATTTATTTCATTTTATTTACATTTTGGCATAATTCAATAATATGCCTCTTAATCAGAGACTGAACCAAAGAAACAACCTTTTGACTGAGTCCTTTTTCCCACATTTTAAATGCATTCATTTGTCTTAAACCCCAAAAGTTATTTTGTTACTGTGCACAACTGCTAAAAGGACAGTGTGTTAAAAATTAGGAGTGAGTAGTCTTTAAATAAATCCTTAATTTGTTTTAAATTCCAGATTGGAACCAGAAATTAGCCACAGTTTCGCTGAATCCTCGACCGCTTAATTCACTGCCAGAGCTCTACTGTTGTGAAGAGAGAAGCAGCTTTGAAAGAAATGCTTTTAAACTAAAATAACCACGGCATTCGAACAAAATAACGTTTGGCATTCTTAGGTGGCCCTTTTAGACTAAGTTAATGGCAGCAGAACTACTTTCAGTTTCAGTGTGTATACAGATGGCTATAATCCTAAAATATTTACATGTTGCAAATTCTTTGCAGATTAAGTTGGTCAGCTTAGAACAGGGAATCAAGATCTATCCTTAAGAGAACTTGAATTTAAGCCCCACTCCCAGTCTTATTGCTGATGCTGGCAAGCTATCTTACATTTAGGCCAATGTATACGCAGGATCAGGTAAGAAGATCATTGTGTCTGCACAATAATTGCATCGCTGTTGGGAAAAATAAAAAAAAGAACCGGGGGGACATGGCCAATTATAAAGAAAACTGGCACTGGAGACCCTCAAGGGGCTCTGGATGGAGAAACCCAGGTGTAGCCTGAGGCTGTAGCGAGATGTGGGACTGATAAAAAGGATTAACTGAGAGTCTGTGTCCAGGAGTTAGCACCCCTATCTTGGCAAGAAGAAAGCCTGACAACTAGGCATCAGCTCCTCAGGCAGAAAGCTAAAGGGTCTTCTCTAGGGAGAGGAAAGAATCCCAAAGGAAAAAAACCTTACATTTGGCTTCTAGGGACCCCTGCCCTCCCCCAGTTCCCCAGCATACTAGTTGACTCCCTCCTCACTCACTCTAAAGTAACACCTATTAACTGATAAACTTCTCCCAAGAATGCAGAGTTCCATATAGTTTTCCATTGCCTTAGTCTTAAATGTGAAGGGCCAATCAATGATCAAATGATAGGGTTCTCCAGAGAAACAGAAACAGAATATATATATATATACATATATATTATTATATATCTATAATATATATTATTAATAATCTAATAATATATTATTTTATATATAATATATAAATAATAGATATATTATTAATAATCTAATAATAGATATATTATATATATAAATAGAATATATATATGTATTATGTATGTATGTATGAAATGAGGATTTGTTTTGATGGATTGGCTTGTGCAATTATGGAGGCTGAGAAGTCCCAGGATCTGCCATCTGCAAGCTGGAAGCTCGTGAAAGCTGGTGGTGTGGTTCCAGTCCAAGTTCGAAGGTTGGAAAACTGGGGAACCAATGTTGTAAGTCTAGGTCCAAGTTTGATGGCCTGAGAACTAGGAGTGCTGATGTCAAAAGACAGGAGAAGATGCATGTCCTGGCTCAACCAGAGACGGCAAATTCATCCTTCCTCCATCTTTTGGTTCTATTAAGGCACTCAAAGGATTGGATAATGCCTGTCCACGTTGGTGAAGGACACCTGCTTTATTCAGTCTACTGACTCAAACACTACTCTCCTTCAGAAACCCCTTCACAGATACACCCAGAAATAATGTTTTGCCAGCTAACTAGGCATCCCTTAGCCCAATCAAGTGAACAAATAAAGTTAACCATCAGGCCAGGTATAGGGGCTCACTCCTGTAATTTCTGTGCTTAGGGAGGCAGAAGTGAGTGGATCACTTGAGGAAAGGAATTTGAGACCATCCTGGGCAACATGGTGAAACCCCACCTCTACAAATAAATACAAAAATTAGCCAGGCATGGTGGTGCATGCCTATAGTCCTAGCTACTCAGGAGGCTAAGGTGGGAGGATCACCTGAGCCTGAGGAGTTCGAGGTTGCAGTGAGCCATGATCACACCACTGGACTCTAGCCTGGGTGACAGAGTGAGACCCTGTCTCGATTAAAAAAAAAAAAAATTAACCATCACAAGTTTACCCCTTGTCAACTTGGCACCCATAAACATCTTAAACCATACTTAACTTCCAAATAAATAACAAGGTCATAATCCTGCCTAACATGATATTAACATTCTGCGCACAACCGAAAACACACTAATCCCAGGGTGTTTACCTCCCGGAAGAGGAGGTGAAGTCTTTGAATGATGTTTACTCTTCTGATAGTCTATAACTTAAATACTATGATGTAGCATTAACAATACTCAAATACTATATATAAGGTCAGTACATCTTATGTTATATGATGAGGGAATAAGACAGGAAATAAAGCAAACATTTTTGCCTAAAATATGTATGTATACGTACAAACATGCTTATTAAAAAATGAGGCCGGGTGCAGTGGTTCACCCCTGTAATCCTAGCACTTTGGGAAGCCAAGGCGGGTGGATCAGCTGAGGTCAGGAGTTCAAGACCAGCCTGGCCAACATGGTGAAACTGCATCTCTACTAAAAATACAGAAATTAGCCAGGCGTGGTGGTGCGTGCCTGTAATCCCAGCTACCCAGGAAGCTGAGGCAGGAGAATCACTGGAACACAGGAGGCGGAGGTTGCAGTGAGCCAAGATCACGCCACTGCACTCCAGCCTGGGCAACACAGCGAGACTCTGTCTTAAAAAAAAATGAGGACATATGGCAATTACAGTCCTCATTCCTGTAACTGGCCACACGGTTGCAACTGATATTTATAAAATGCTGCCTTCTCCTACTATCCATTCTGTATCCCTTTTGACTTCAACACATAACTCAGCAGTCATGGTTCTTTACCAGGTGGAGTGGCCTAAACCTCCATTCCTGAAGGGTTTGGTCATTAGTAGTCCTGCCTGGATTGGGTTGGGACATGGTAATACTGAGAGACATCCTAAGTGATCCATATCCCAGAAATATTCTTCCTTTGTGGAGTAGTGGAGTAGTTCAATTTCCCCTTGGTCGTCCAGATCAACCGCCCCAACCAGCAACATAACTTCCTTCTTAGCTTGCTGACTCTGAGGCGTGAGGAGCCTAAAATGGCTGGGCAGCAGTCTTAAGTCCAGTCCAGCAGGATCATTGTTTCTCCTAGTGGAAGCATTCCTCCCTCTGGAACTAAGGTCTCTAGGCCAGCAGAGCATAAAATCCTGGGAGCAGTAAGCAAACATTTTGCTAATGGGTTACTAAGGGTAATAGTGAGTCATGCCACTCCCATTTCTACCTCTTGATTCCTGGATCTGTGAATCCTAGCTATGGGAGAGCGAGCACCATATACTGGACACTGATTCAGAGCATTTGCAGTCTTCTGGAGAACCTTGCTGCACCCCTGCAAGGTATTGCCGCCTAGCTGGTACCGTTAACTGATTCTCCGAAAGGCTATTCCACAGCTCTATCAAGCCAGCGGCTTCTGGTTAGTGGGGAACATAGTAAGATCAAAAAATTCCATGCACATAAGCCCATTGCTGCACTTCTTTTGCTGTAAAGTTGAATTCTTTAATCAGAAAGCAATGCTGTATGGAATACCATGATGGTGGATAAGGCATTCTGGAAGTCCACAGATAATAGTTTTGGCAGAAGTATCGTGTTCAGGGAAGACAAATCCACATCCAGAGTAAGTGTCTATTTTAGTAAGGACAAACTTCTATGATGGAAGCAATCCAATGTAATCAACCTGCCACCAGGTAGCTGACCGATTGCTCCAGGGAATGGTGCCATACTGGGGGCCAGGTTGGCCTTGGTGAGTTGAAGTCCATGTTGCTGAGCCCATGTGTAATCTCCTTCCTTGCCACCATGGCTATTTTATTCATGAGCCCATTGGGTAATTACAGTGGTGGCTGGAGAAAGAATCTGACTTGTATCCACAGAATGGGTCATCCTATCCATTTGATTATTAAAATCCTTCTCTGTTGGCTGGGTGCAGTGGCACATGCCTGTAATCCCAGCACTTTGGGAGGCTGAGGCAGGAAAAATTGCTTGAGCCCAGGAGTTTGAGACCAGCCTGGTCAATATAATAAAATCTCATCTCTACAAAATAAATAAATAAATAAATAATCCAGGCATGGAGGCATGCACGTGTAGTCCCTGCTATTCAGAAGGCTGAGGTGGGATGATTGCTTGAACCCAGGAGTTTGAGGCTGCAGTGAGCTATGATCAAACTTCTGCACTCCAGCCTGGGCGACAGAGCATATCTTGTCTCAGAAATAAAATTAATTAACAAAATCCTCTGTTGAGGTTCCCTTCAATGAACATTCACATGGGATAAATGTCTTTGTGTTTTTTGCCCAGAGAGATCTATCCAAATACCTGTTCCCTAAATTTCTTTTTTTTTTTTTTAATTATAATAGAGGGGCTGGGTGTAGTGGCTCACGCCTATAATCCCAGCACTTTGGGAGGCTAAGGAGGGTAGATTTGAGGTCAGAAGTTTGAGACCAGCCTGTCCTACATGGTGGAACCCCGTCTCTATTAAAATACAAAAATTAGCTAGGCATAGTGGCGGGTGCCTGTAATCCCAGCTACTTGGGAGGCTGAGGCAGGAGAATCGCTTGAATCTGGGAGACGGAGGTTGCAGTGAGCCGAGATCACACCACTGCACTCCAGCCTGGGCGACAGAGTGAGACTCTGTCTCAAAAAAAAAAAAAAAATTATAACAGAGATGGGGTTTTGCCATGTTGCCCAGGCTGGTCTTGAACTCCTGAGCTCAAGCAATCCGCCTGCCTCAGCCTCCCAAAGTGCTAGGATTACAGGCATGAGCCACCACACTTGGCCCCTTCCCCAAACTTGTCACTAAATTTCCAATCACATTGGGCCATCCGGCCAAACCACTGGCTACAGCCCATGAATATTTAATTGCACACTGGCCATTTCTCCTTCCAAGCAAAGTGCGTAACTAAGTCTACGACGCAAAGTTATGCCCCACTGGGAGGATTTCTCTTTCCCGCTGTCCGGGGCGCTCCAGCGAGGGACTGCGGTGCTGTAGCTGTCCACTTGCAGGCACTGCTGCATATCATGCAGGGCCATCTGTACAACAGGCCCCAGTCTTCTTTTTCTGTGTCAGCTGATCATAGGCAACTCCCCATGAAGCCACAGGTTCAGGCTGAGAAGGAGAAACAGTATAGAAGGAATGGGGACCGTGGACATGTAGACCACTTCTTATAACCCACTTGTGCCTTCAGAAGGCCCTGTTAGGGCCTAATCACAAATATACCACTTGCATTTGAGAACCGGATGTTGTGTGCTATGCACGCCCAACTTTATGGCGTGGCGGGTCAGATTACATCAGTTCATGATGGGCAGCTAGGGTTGCACGGTAACTTGGTGGCCCATGGTCAAGCATTTAGTCTCTGCTAAAGCCCAGTAGTAGGCCAAGAGTTGTCTCTCAAAAGGAGAGAAGCTATCCAAGGATGTTGGCAGGGCCCTGCTCCAAAATTTTTTTTTTTTTTTTTTTTTTTTTTTTTTTTGGTAAACCAAACCAACGATAAAACAACTATTTGAAATTTTACACTAATGTAGAGATTTTGCTGGTCCCCCACATAAAAATACTATTTCCTTGCAAAACAATCCCCAATTGCAATGGTGGGTTACTCCCAGTTCATCAGACCCTATCGAGCAATGCACTCTCATTCCCCACACCTGGCTAACTATTGCCATTAATGTAAACCACAGCAAAAGGGGATAAACAGTTTAGCAAAACTCTACACAACTGGAGTCAGTTCTGTTACATCTGCTGGGTTCCTCTTTTCTTTTGTTCATGCTTACGAACTTGGAATGTCCACACCTCGCTTGACAGAAGCAGCACAGGGGCAGCTTGGACCCAATATAGGCCTGAACTGGGCAGGTTTCCTGAGCCCAGCCCAGAAAACCAAGCAGAACAAAGGTGTCCCAGGGTTTCTCTGGAGCAGCAGAAGCAGCACCATGCCTGTCTCCCATCGCCTGGTCTCCTCACTGAGGGGAGGCCTGGAAAAATGGCAAGAGTCAGCAGAGGAGAGGGCCCCCATCACAGCACAGCGATGCCAGCTGGCATCTTCCTCTTGAAGACCTCTGGACGGAGGACATGATCCCAATGTTTGGCAGTGATCCACAGAAAACCCTCTGTATGGAGGGGACCCAAACGGGAACCCAAGACAGCTGGTTTGAGCCTCGAGCACCCCTGTTGACAGACACCTACTTGAGGTTTTCAGAGACTAAAGGGATGGGAGTGTGCAGGAATGGGAGTAACAGGTGCTGCTGCTTCTCAAGCTCCATCTCAGCAGCCCTCTGTAGTTGGAGGACTGGAAGCAGCTGGAAGCTGCTGAAGCCTCTTTGTCTCGTTCTAGGGATGTGGCTGGTGGCATGTTGGAGAGTGCACCTGTGGGGCTTCCAGCCTCAGTCCTGGTCAGCAGGGTGAGTGTGCTACCAGGAGTCAGAGTATTGGGGGGCTCCGGCTCCCGCCGTGGGAAGGGGGCTGCAGGCTTTCCACGCTGGCCTGAGCAGAGCAGCACGCAGCACACACACAGGGAGAGCACATCTGTGGGGGCTGGGACAGACACAGGCAGCCCTGAAGGGCTGCTGCCACTGGGCTGGGCCACATCTGAGGCCTCACCCCCACCTCGGGAGAGGGTAAACTGATTCGCATCTTTGCAGTCTGGGAGACGCCACTGCCAGCCGTTGATGAACCAGTTACACATCTGCAGTGCTGACAGGTTGGTCTGACCAGAAAGGCTCAGCTTCCCCGGCCCCAGGGGGAGGCATTACAGAGGTGCAAGTACAGCCAGTCCCCAAGGATCTCCACTGACTCCTTGGACAGGCTCCCCCTGATCTTCCTCTTGCCTGCCAGGGAGAGGAGGCCTTCGTCTTCACCTAGATCACTGTCCAATGTGGTGCCTAGGGGCTAGGCTGGACCTGGGGCAAGCCTTGCAGAGACAGTGGTGAGCCATCTCTACTGATTGCTTCTTGGATGTTCTCCTTGGTCAGGCCCCTTGGCCTGGTACCAGACTCAGCCTCTGAAAATCCAGATGAATGAGCAAGGCCCTATCCTTCACTTGGTGCTGTGACCCTGGGCAAGTGTCCTTCCCTCTCTGAGCTTGAGTCCTCTCTTCACTTTTCCTAGTGGTTTTTGGGCCCGTGCAGCCTCAGGCTCAGGGTGGGGCATCCTGGCAGGGGAACTGGTGGTGGGGAGCGGGGGCGCAGTGCTCCCAGTACCTGCCCCACCTGACAGCTCACTGAATGCTCAAATCTGGAAAGCACAGGGGGTCTGACAGTGGATCCCCTCTCCTCCCCTCTGCACCCTCCTCACCCTCCCCCACCTGCCCAGAGGGAAAAAACATACTTTGTGCTCTTGCTCCAAAGTTCTAAAGGCTGGAGGTGTGACTCACCTCTATGGGCCTACCCAAAGGCTCCCCTACCTGCCATTGACAGATCTGCTGGTCACATGGCCCAAGCGGCAGAGCAGCTTGCACAGCACCCTGGACCTGTTGCAGAGCCTTCTCTTGTCCTGGGCCCACTCAAAACTCACAGCTTTTCAGGTAACTCAGTAAACGGCCCAGCGTTAACACACCCAAATGAATATGTTGCCTCCAGAAATCCAAAGAGGCCCAGCAGGTATTGTGCCTCTTTCTTGGCTGTGGGAGGAGCCAGATGAAACAACTTAATCTTCACCTTAGAAAGGATATCTCTACCGAAACAAGCATATGAAAATATCTAGTATCAACTGAAATGTTTCTATTCCATTGTTGTAATTAACATCACGAATGGACTTCCTAAACTGATTACCCCACTGTGGGAACCAAATTGGATTCCTACTTTGTTGGACTCTTTCCTGATTTTAACAATTTACCATCCCATTCTCTGCTCTGCGATTTTTTAAAAGCTTATTCCATGTTCTGCAGCATTGTGATTGTATGCTGGCTACACTGCTTTCAGAATGCTCTTTCTCATGAAACAAATACATAAATTTGTTTAAAATGACATTCTCTCAAAAGAAAGAAAAGGAAAGAGAAAGAGAAACAGAAAGAAAGAAAGAAAGAAAAGAAAAAAAGAGAGAGAAAGGAAGGAAGGAAGGAAGAGAGAAAGAAAGAGATATCTCGACACCACACACCACTGGACCCCTAGAAATTTCACTGAGGTAAAGACCCCTGAATTTCAGTTGGATTTATTACCCACTCTTTGACATGGTAATGTCTTACCATATGTCTACAGTTATGGCTACTTCTTGCTCACTATGTCCAATCAGCAAAATGTCATCAAAGTAACGGACCAACGTGGTATCTTGTGGAAGGAAAGGGTGATCAAGATCCCCATGAACTAAATTATGACCTAGGGCTGGAGAGGTGATATGCCCCTGAGACAGGACAGTGAAGGTGCATTGCTGGTCATGTCACTGAAAGCAAGCTGCTTAGGGTGGGCCTTATGGAGAGGGATGGAGAAAAGGCATTTTCCAAGACAATAGCTGCATACCAGGTAGCAGGAGATGTGCTGATTTTCTCAAGCAATGACACATCTGGTACAGCAGCTGCAATTGGAGTCACCATCTGGTTAAGCTTATGATAATCCACTGTCATTCTCCAAGATCCATCTGTCTTCTGCACAGGCCAAATAGTGTTGAATGGGGATGTGGTGGGAATCACCACCCTGTCAGTTTCCTTAGGTAATGCAGGGTTTCCTCAGAGGAGAAAAGGCTGATATCACTGTGAGTGGGAATGCCACTGTCACTGGGTTTGGGGAAGGCACTTCCACTGGGATTGGGAGACACTGGCAAAAAAGACTCATCAGATTTTAGGGGCTCAATGTCTCCAGCTTTATCTAGGTCTTCCCAAACATCCCCATTTCAATTGACAGGATTCCACTATTTCCTAATTAATGTCCCCACTTTAAGAGCAGATGCCCTGGTGGTGGGTGCCTGTAGTCCCAGCTACTCGGGAGGCTGAGGCAGGAGAATGGCGTGAACCCAGGAGGCGGAGCTTGCAGTGAGCCGAGATCACGCCACTGCACTCCAGCCTGGGCGACAGAGCGAGACTCCGTCACAAAATAAAATAAACTAACCTAAACTAACCTAAACTAAACTAAACTAAAATAAACTAAAATAAACTAAAATAAACTAAACTAAAATAAAATAAAATAAAATAAAATAAAATAAAATAAATAAAATAAAAGAGCGGATGCCCTGTGGGGCTGGAAATTCAACATGCGCTGTAATTCATCAAGTCCCAGGATTTGACTCTCAGCAATTTCAGTGACATTAGGAGCAACCAACCAATGCTATTATACTCCTTAGTTTTCCAAAAATGTTTAAAAGTATCAGACACAGAACCCTTGAGGTCCCTTGCTTTTTTTTTTTTTTTTTTTTTTTTTTTTTTTTGAGAGGTAGTGTCTCGCTCTGTCGCCCAGGCTGGAGTACAGTGGCACAATCTCGGCTCACTGCAAGCTCCACCTCCCGGGTTCACACCATAATCCTGCCTCAGCCTCCTGAGTAGCTGGAACTACAGGCGCACGCTGCCACACTCAGCTAATTTTTTATATTTTAGTAGAGACGGGGTTTCACCGTGTTGCCCAGGCTGGTCTTGAACTCCTGAACTCAGGCAATCTGCCTGCCTCGGCCTCCCAAAGTGCTAGGATTACAGGCATAAGCCACCGTGCCCAGCCTCCTTGCTTCCTATAAGGAGTTGATTAGGAGTATCCAAGCATGGACTATTATCAGGGCTCTCTTTACTACTGGATACAGAATCATCAGCCCCTTTAAATCCAATCAGATTACCATTAAGAAAATATCTAAAATATATACACAAAGGAAAAGATTAGGAAATTAAACAAAACCCTACAAAAAAAAATCAGCTAAGGACAAAAGAATGCAGTATTTCAGAAGCCCCAGAAACAATTCAAAAAACTAATTCTTAGAACTTTCTTATTCTAGTACCATTCTTGGTACCAAAATCTGCATTAATTAGGGTTCTCCAAGGAAATAAAACTAATACAATGTGCGTATATATATACACATATACATATACATATATATATACACACACACACACACACACACATACACAAAGAGACTTATGAGGGATTGGCTCACATGAACACCATGCCTGGAAGGTCCCACAACCTACCATCTGCAAACTGGAGGCCCAGGAAAGCTGCTGGTGTAGTTCCAGTCCAAGCCAAAAGGCCTTACAACCAGGGGAGCCAATGGTGTTCAGTACCAGCCCAAATTCAAAGGCCAGAGAAGATGAATGTCCCAGCTCAAGCAGAGAGCAAATTCACTATTCCTCTGCCTTTTTGTTCTATTAAATATCTGGACACTCAACAGATTGGACGATGCCCATCCACATTGGTGAAGGCAATCTTTACAGTTCATTGATTCAAATGTTGATCTCTTCCAGAAACACCTTCATAGACACACCCAGAAACAAGGTTTTAACCTTGTTTCTGGGCATCCCTCATCCCAGTCAAGTTGACATATTACCATCATATCATAATTTGACATGAGATTTGTCAAAATAGTTACATCCATAAAATGCAAAAAAGCAATCTTCCTAATTTCCTTTAGAATTTCTTATTTGATCTGTTGGTTAAGAGTGTGTTGTTTAATTTCCACGTATTTGTGAATTTTCTAGTTTTGTTATAGATTTCTAGCTCCATTCCATTGTAATCAGAGAAGAATACTTTGTATGATTTCAGCATTTCTAAACTTGTTTTGTAACCTATCCTCTGTCCTGGACACTGTTCCATGTGCAATTGAGGAGATTGTGTATTTTTATTGTTGGGGGAAGTGTACTATTTATGATGTTAATCAAGTCCTCTATTTCCTTATTAATCTTCTAAATGTTCTAATAGTAATAATAATTTTTATTATTAAAATGGGGTATTGAAGTTTCTATTATTGTGGAACCATTTCTCCGTTCAAATCTGTCAGTGTTTGCTTCATATATTTTGGTGGGGCTCTGTTGCTTGCTGAGTATGAATATGTTTATAATTGTTACATCTTGTTGATGAATTGACCCTTTTATCAATAGGTAATTCCCTTCTTTGTCTCTTGTAACAGTTTTAAATGTAAAGTCTATTTTGTGTGATAACTTTTTCCATCCTTTCACTTTCAACCTATTTGTATCTTTGGATTAAAGTGAGTTGCTTGTAGATAGCATACAGTTGGATTATCTTTTATACCTAATTTCCTTCATTATTGCCTTCTTTTGTCCTTAGCTGATTTTTTTGTAGGGTTTTGTTTAAATTCCTTATCATTTCCTTTGTGTATATATTTTAGATATTTTCTTAATGGTTACCATGAAGATTACAATTAACATCCTAAATTTGTAACTATATTATTTTAATTGATACTAACTTAGCTTCAATAACACACAAAAACCCTGCTCCTATACAGCTCTTTCCTGACCTTATTGTTGTCACAAATTACATTTTTATGCAGTGTACCCAATAGCAAAAATTTGTAATTATTTTTTATGCATTTATCTATTAAATTGTGTAGAAAATAAAAAGTGGAGTTGCAAAACAGAAATACATTAATACTGGCTTTTACCTTTTTAGCTTTACTGGAGATCTTTATTTCTTCATTCAGCTTGAAGTTACTGGCTGGTTTCCTTTCATTTCAAACTGGGAGACTCCCTGTAGCTCTTTCCCTGTAGCTTTTTTTGTTTGTTTGTTTTTGAGACAGTCTTGCTTTGTCACCCAGGCTGGAGTGCAGTGGCACGATCTCAGCTCACTGCAACCTCCGCCTCCCGGGTTCAAGTGATTCTCCTGCAACCTCCGCCTCCCGGGTTCAACCGATTCTTCTGCCTCAGCCACCCTAGTAGCTGGGATTACAAGCACCCATCACCATGCCTCACTAATTTTTTTTGTATTTTTGGTAGAGACGGAGTTTCACCATGTTGGCCAGGCTGGTCTCAAACTCCTGGCTTCAAGTGATCCGTACACCTTGGCCTCCCAAAGTGTTGGAATTACAGGTGTGAGCCACTGCACCTGGACATGTAGCACTTCTTGACAGGAAAGGCCTATGGGTAATATTCTTCCTCCACTTTTGTTTATCTACTTATGTCTTAATTTCTCCTTCATATTTGAAGGATAATTTTGCCAAATATTCTTAGTTTTTTTCTTTTAGTACTTTAAGTAAATGTTATCCCATTTTTTTTTTCTGGCCTCTATGATTTTTGTAAGAAATCAGCTTTTAATCTTACTGAGGGTCCCTTGTACATGATGAATCACTTCTCTCTTGATGCTTTCAAGATGCTCCATCTTTGTCTTTCGACAGTTTGATTATGTGTCTCAGTGTAGATCTCTTTTGTGTTTATTCTACTTTGAATGCATTGAGCTTCTTGGATTTGTAGATTCATGCCTTTCATCAAATTTTGGAAGTTTCTGATGAATTATTTCTTCAAATATTCTTTCTGCCTCTTTCTGGGATTCCCGTAATGCATGTTGGTCCACTTGATGGTAGGGTTCCTTGGGCTTTGTTCACTTTTCTTCATTTTCCATTCTGCTCCTCAGACTGAATATTTTCAGTTGTCCTATCTTCAAGTTCACTGATTCTTACTTCTGCCTGCTCAAATCTTCTGAATGCCTCTAGCAAATTTTTTCATTTCAGTCACCATAATTTTCAGCTCCAGAATTTGTATTTGGTTCCCTTTTATCATTTCTCTTCTTGGATATTCTTGTGTTCATACATCATTTGCCTTTAGTTCCTTTAGTTCTTTAGTTTCCTTTAGTTCTCTGAGCATATTTGAGACAGTTGATTTAAAGTCCTTGTCTAGTAAGTCTGATGTATCATCTTTCTCAGGGATGGCTTTAGTCTTTTTCTTTTTTTTTTTCCTGTGAGTAGACCATACTTTCCTGTTTCTTTGTAGTTTGTTGCTGTTATTGAAAATGGACATTTGAATATTATAATGTGGAAACTCTGTAAATCAGTTTTTCTTTTCCCTAGGGTTTGCCGTTGATTGTTGAAGTCTAAGATTGTGTTACTGATTTTTCCAACCTTTTTTGTTTTTGCAAAAACTGTACTCCTTATTGTATTAGTTACTGAAGTCTCTGTTCCTTTAGTTTGTGTTCAACTAGTGCTTTGACAAAGATTTCCTTAAATACTAGGATTACACACACACACACACACACATGAGCTCTGGGCTCAGGGATTCCAACTCTGCCTCAGCCTTCTCTTCTTGCACTAAACTTAGAGATCAGCCGAAGGTGAGAGCTTAGGATCTTCTCAGGTCTTTTCTGGGCATGTGTCCTGCCCTGAGCATGTATATGGCTTTCTATATTCCCTAATATACACTTTTGAAAGACCTAATTTCTCAAATAAACTCTCCTCTGTTCTTCCTCCCAGGCTTTAGATTGTGTATATCATCTTTTGCTCCAAGCAGTTGTGGTTTTTTTGTTCTCCTTATAATGTTTCCAAGCAATGCTCACCACTTTTCCATCCTAGGTGAATTCTGAGTTAGATAAAACACAGATGGGCACTCTGTGTCAGCCCTTCAGGCAGCCACAGAGAGGTTAAAATAGAAAGACCACAATAATTTGCAAATAAGGTCTGCTCTGCTCCCTTTAGAACCAGAGACCAGGGTCCCACACTGGCAATGCAGGTTGCTTTCTTCAAGATTGCCATTGACCTGGAAAGGGGATGGGCAAGGACAAGTAAAAACACCACACAGCTTTCCTACCATTTTTAATTTGCCTTTTTCTTTATCTATTGTTTACCTGACTGATGTAAACCTGTGTTTTCCAGAGTTCTGACAAAGTTCATTCTGATAGTTCCTATTTGTTTTTTGATGATTCTGTGGAGAAATGGGTGTTTGGAGCTAAAACTCTGCCATTTTTCTGATGCCAGCCCCAAAATTTATATCAAACGCAAAAGACCCAGAATAGCAAAATCAATCTTGAAAAGAACAAAGCTGGAGGGCTTGTACTCCTGAATTTCAAAACATGCTATAAAGCCACAGTATCAAAACACTGTGGTGCTGGTATAAGAACAGAGGGGCAAAGGCATTTCAATGGGAAAAGAATAGTATTTTCAACTAACGGTGCGAGGACAAGTAAATATCTACACACAAGGAGATACACTTAAGGCTTTTACCTCGCATCACATGAAAATTAACTCAACATGGATCACAGATGATTTTGTGAAATGGTCTTTCACACGTGAAAGTTTAAACTATACATTTTTTTAAAACATCAAATGAAACTTTTAATGACCTTGGATTGGCAGATTCCTTAAATGTGACACCAAAAACAACCTAGGTAAGGAAAAACTGATAAGTTGGATTTGACCAAAATTTAAAACTTTTGCACTTCAAAAAACATCACCAAGACAATGAAATGGCAAGCCACAGACTAGAAAAAAAATTTGCAAATTATGTCTAATACAGAATCTGTATCCAGAATGTATAATGACTTCTTATATAATTAAAACAACCAATTTAAAAATGGGCAAAATATCTGAATAAACATCACCAAGGATATATAAATAGACATAAAAAAATGCTCAAACATCATTAGTCATATTAGGGAAACACAAATTAAAACAAGAAACCAACGGTTCATACCCACTAGAAAGGTTATAATCAAAAGATACACAATGACAAGTATTGATGAGGATGTGAAGAAATGGAAATCCTTATACATTGTTGGGGGGAATGTAAAGTGATGTAGTCACTTTGGAAATTTCTTTTAAACATTAAACATAAATGTATGATCTGACCCAGAGATTCCATTCCTAGGTATCTACCTAAGAGAAACAAAAACCTATGTCCACACAAAGACTTAAATGCAAATGCTCACAGCAGTACTATCACAATATAAAAAAAAACCCTGAAAATAACTCAAGTGTCTATGAACAGATGAATGAAGAAAATGTGGTATATCCATATAATAGAATACTATTCAGCATTAAAAAGGAATGAAGCACATGGTATTGTCTCAAAAGATATTTAAAAAACCAGCCAGATGCAAAAAGATTAAATATTGTGATTTCATTTATGTGAAATGTCCAAGAAAGGCAACTCTATTGAGACAAAAAGTAGACTTGTGAGGTTGGGTGTGGGAATGGGAGTGACTACAAATGGGCAGGAGGAATCTTTAGGGTGGGATGGAAATGTTCTAAAATTACACAGTAGTGACAGTTGCATAATTCTGTAAATTCACTATGTCACTGAATTGTATCCTTAAAATAGACAAATGTTACAGTGTCTAAATCATACTTCAATAAAGTTGTTTAAATAAACATTATATGCATGTATCACCACTTTGATAAAAAATAAAATGACAAAGCCAGAAAAAAGTCTAAGAAAGGTGAAAGAAGACTGATGGATGCTGTGTATAAAGGTCACCCAGATCTTTTCTTCTCAGGTAGATTCTAGAAAGATGGACGCTATTCTACAAAAACATCTAGGCTAATGGTTGTTGGTGTTTCCAAGCAAAATTACTTTTCAACCTTAAGAGAAAAAAGCAGTGGGCAACAAGTTACAAAGCCAATAATCTCTTCTTTCCCTACATTCTGGAAGCATTTTCCAAACAGGCAATCTTTTAGCTTGTACAGTATATGACTCTGGTATCTAATGATAGCATATTCTTTCATTTATAATATCGGTATTTGTGTCAGTGTGGATGTTCATATGGTTTCTAAAGACCAGGCCTGTAAAATGATGTCAAATGTCAACATCTCAATTATCCTTCCCCAAAAGTATACTGACCATGATTTACACTGTGGATTCCTAAAACTATTAATCACTGAATGTACTCAGTTCTCAGGTACATTTGAAACAGCAATTTATTCTCAATAACTGCTATAACTCATTTCTTTCTTTTTTTTAATTTTTTTTTTGAGACGGAGTCTCACTCTGTCGCCCAGGCTGGAGTGCAGTGGCACAATCTCGGCTCACTGCAAGCTCCGCCTCCTGGGTTCACGCCATTCTCCTGCCTCAGCCCCGCCCCGAGTAGCTGGGGCTACAGGAGTCTGCCACCACGCCCGGCTAATTTTTTGTATTTTTAGTAGAGACGGGGGTTTCACCATTTTAGACAGGATGGTCTCCACCTCTTGACCTTGTGATCCACCTGCCTCGGCCTCCCAAAGTGCTGGGATTACAGGCGTGAGCCACCGCACCCGGCCTATAACTCATTTCTTAAAAATAATTTAAAAAAACTATATGCTCTTAAAAATATAAACAGTACAAAAATATTTAAAGAAAACTTCAAGTTCTCTCCTAGTGACCAACGTTAACCATTTGATATACACCCTTGCATATTTTGTCCTTGGTTTAGACCAACAAATATACACAGTTTTATATTTTATTCCCTCCTCTCTTCCAGTTCATAGAATACCATCTTATGCTATTAACAGACCTTGACATTGTTTTCAATTACATATGAAATAGGGCTGCCTTTTTCTTTTTTAAAAATGTATTTTTTTTTTCTGAGATAGTCTCACTCTGTCACCCCAGGCTGAAGTACGGTGGCACGATCTCAGCTCACTGCAACCTCCGCCCCCAGGTTTAAGTGATTCTCCTGCCTCAGCCTCCCAAGTAGGTGGGATTACAGATGCCTGCCACCATACCCAGCTAATTTTTGTATTTTTAGTAGAGATGGGGTTTCACCATGTTGGCCAGGCTGGTATCGAACTCCTGACCCCAGGTGATCCACCCATCTGTCTCAGCCTCCCAAGTGCTGGGATTACAGGTGTGAGCAACCATGCCCGGCCTTCTTTTTTCTTTTTGTAATGTGATTGCTGGTGGGTCAAAGGATTTGCAAATACAAATTTTAACCGATATTGCCAAATTGCTTCCCCTACAGATTGTAGTAATTCACACTGTAACCAGCAGTTTGTGAAAGTATCTATTTCTCCACATTCTTGATAGCACTGATCTTTTCATATTTACCAATCTGAGATGAGAAGTGGTTTCTCATTGTTAAGTTATATTTTTTTTATCTATAGCGAAAGGTGGAGGTGGATACTTTCCATGTTTTGGGCCATTGATACTTCTTTTTCTGTGGATTGCTTGATATATATTAATTTTTTGTCCATTTTTCTATTACTTGTCACTTTATTCGCTCTTTGTACATTAGGGATATGCGCTGAAATATTTTTTCCCAAGTTTGTTTTCTCAGGCTTTAAAAAAAACTTTGCTCATAATACTATATATATATTTTATATACATATAGTATTTATATATACATAAACTCAGTTCAATCCGAACATTTTTTCCTTAGGTTCCTGAGTTTGCTGTTTTTATGAAGGCGGCTTTCCCTAAGATTAGATAAGCCTGTGTTAAGTTCCCAAATATGCTTGCATCTATTTCTGGAATGTCTATTCCATTTCTCTTATGTATTCTTTCTCATAGCAATGCTATATATTTTTATTACAGTAGCTGTGTAATGTTCTAACATCTGGCAGGACAAAGACTCCTCTCTCAACATATTACTTTCTCAAAAATGCCTCAGATATTCTTGCATCCCTATTCAACTATATTCATTAATTAGTATATTAAAAATATGTACTAAATAGGCCCTCTTCCCATTTCAGTGTCTTGTTCTGCCACGCAGTTTCCATCTACTGAGTTTTGAAATTTAGAGCATACAGTTTTAGCAATTTTCCTGTGCTCCCATTAGGGCCTTCTTAAGCGTAATACAGTAGTCTCTCCCCCATCTGTGGTTTCATTTTCGTTGGTTTTAGTTACTGGAGGCCAAACCTGCCCCAAAAATATTACATTGAAAATTCCAAAAATAATTTATGAGTTTCAAATTGCAAGCAGCTCTCAGTACCATAATGAGACATCAGGCCATCCTTCTCTGTCCTGCCCAGAATGTCAATCATCCCTTTGTCCTGTGTCTCCACACTGTCTGCAATACCTGCCTGTTAGTCACTTAGTAGCTGTCTCAGTTATCAGATCGAGTGGTTATCAGACCGACTGCCTGGTATCTCAGTGGTTGTGTCCAAGGAACCCTTATTTTACTAAAGAGTGGCCCCAAAGCACAAGAATAGTGATGCTGGCAATTCAGGTGTGCCAAAGGGAAGCTGTAAAGTACTCATTTCAAGTGAAAAGGTGGAAGTTCTACTGAAGGAAATAAAGACAAATCATATGCTGATGTTGCTAAGATTTACAATAAGAACAAATCTGTGAAATTTTGAAGGAGGAAGAAGAAATTCACGCTAGTTTTGCTGTCACACCTCAAACTGCAAAAGCTGTGGCCACGGTGCATGACAAGTGCTTAGTTAAGATGGAAAAGGCATTCCATTTATGGGTGGAAGATACCAACAGAAAACATCTTAATATTAACGGCAATGTGTCACTCCAGAAAGCACTGAGCCCATGCAAAGACTTCAGCAAGGAATCCCTTGAAATGAGTGACACCAAGCCATTACACAGACGGCCAACAGTAGCCCATCGCCACATCACAATGCCTACATCACCTCACTGCATCTCATCGCGGAGGCACTGTAGCATCTCCCATGATCACAAGAAGGGGAAATACAGTACAATAGAGGATATTTTGAGAGAGAGACACATTCACATAATTTTTATTACAGTATATTGTTATAATTGTTCTACTTTATTATGTTATTAATCTCTTACTATGCCTCATTTATAAATTACACTTTATCACAGGTATGTATTGGAAAAAACAGTATATATATGATTTGGTACTACTACCCACAGTTTTAGGCATCCACTGGGGGTCTTTGAACATATCTCTCATGGATAAGGGGGGAACTACTGTATGTCTTGTATTATATTATAGTCTTCTTCTTTCATGTAAAACATGGGTTTTGGCCAGGTATGGTGGCTCATGCCTATAAAATAAAGGCATGGTGGCATATGACTGCAATCCCAACTACTCAGGAGTCTGAGGCAGGAGAATCGATTGAACCCGGGAGGCGGAGGTTGCAGTGAGCTGAGATCACACCACTGCACTCCAGCCTGGGTGACAGAGCGAGACTCTGCCTCAAAAAAAAAAATAAAAAGAAGAAAACACAAAAAAACCCCCCATGATTTTACTCCTTGAATTTACTGCTAAGCTAATCAATCTCATCAGCCCCTCACTCATTTTGTTTAGTTGCTCCAACTTTCCAAATTCTTTCCAGCCTCTGGGCCTTTGTACAGTACATGTCCCTCTGTCTGCTCTGTACGCATCTGCTTGGTCTGTTTAGACATTATTTCCATTAATGGCCTTCTCCAACCCCTGCTAAATTAAGACTAGATTCTCATTCATCAGACCTTGTACTTTTCTACTGCAGCATGTAACTACTGTTTATAAATCTCTATTTGGTTACCATGCTGTCCCCCACTACATTAAGTTTCAGGAAGACTGTGCTCCTGTCACCACTGCATACCCAATACCTAGGAAGAGTCTAACACATATACTTGAAAAGGAGAATGAGTTCTTTGTATCTGTCTCTGAACCATTACTAAAAATACATTTTAACAGTGCAATACTTGCAACCAAGATAAGAATGCAGACTTTAAAAGCCCATTCATTCTCTATTAAACAGAAATTATATATTCATTATAAATTATTTTTACATGTAAGTCATTACTATCAGTAATTGGCTTGTAGGATAATCTGTATTGTTCTTTATACTTATTGAGTCTAACGATACTGCTCCTATTTGAGAATTTTTCTTGAACTAAGTATTACACTACAGAGATAAAGCTCCTTCCTATATACTATTACTAACCTCTCTTAGTAGAACAAAAACACAATACGCAAAGCATACTAGAAATATTTGGTTCTTTTAATCAGCTATTCATGGTGTAATAAAATAAATTTAAGTGGCACCTAATTTAACATTTAAAATAGTTCATTAAAAGATAATCTACAAAACAATGTTATGCCTAATTGTCAAAATAACACCTTTTTTTTTTCAAGAAAGGAGAAATAAAGGCATAATCAAAATTATGGCTAACAACGTGGGTTCATTTTGACACTTACAGATGATTCTGTAGGCATATCGGCAGGCACGATGTTGAAAACCAATCCACTAGATTTAAAATTAATGGTAAGATAAAAAAGAAAAGATACACATTTCAGAGGTAATGTTTGAAATTAAAGAAAAATATCCACCATATATTACAACAGATCTTTTAATGACTATTTTTAACATAAAGATTGTTGTTTTGGGAAACATCTATTCTCTTTGAACATTTCACTAAATTTTCAATGTATTAAATAACTGACAGAAATAAGTTCTGTGTTCTGTACAAATTAAAGGTCCCATGAATACATAACCCCCTCCCAGCCCCACCAAAGCTCAATTTTGCATGGTTTCAGCAGAAAATAGACAGCCCAAAATTTAAACAGAATTCATAGCATTACAAAAGTTTACAGAACCCCTATGTTTTCATCATTTGTTTCTAACAACAAAGATTACAATGACAGAACTGAATGATCAGAATGTAAAAATATTTGTGCAAAACTGCATTAATTGTTCTTACCATCTAATAGGGGTAAAACTTAAGAACACGCAATGACAATAATGAAGAAAAACTACATTAAAAGTAATTCTACTTTTGATATCAAACAACATGGATTATACTATTACTAAACATTGAAAAAAAAAACGTGGCACCATGAGAGCAGCAGGAGCAACAAATGATTTGGCAATTCCAGCTAAAGAAAGCTGACACTGGAATATGCCAAAGTTAATCTCCACAGTAGGCATCCATCTGAAAAGACTGGAAACAACTGTAGGGCTTCAAACTTACTTCAGTGTCTTTATTCTTGAATTTGCAGGTCATAAATGAAATATTTAAGAAAGTCTTTTCCCCTCCCTCTCAAGGAGTGTTTCTTGCATTACTGGCAATCATTAAAAGAGTTGAATCATAGATTCTCTGGATTTACCAACACCAATCCACTTAACTAGGAGAATACAAAGAGAAAAGGAATTGAATCAATTCATCTCTAATGTTCACTCGTTGGGATTAAAACAGGTAGTCCCCTACTTTTCTCAGTATCACCATAACTTTTCCCTATGTGCCTTTTTGCTGTTCTCTATTCTGTTAGCAGACTGTGCCGATTTCTAAACAGGATGTACAAATAAGACCCAGCACAGGACAGTATGCCTTACTGTTCCCTTTTTAACTGTGCAATATTTTCACTTTCCTAATGACTTAGGATAGTAAAATATTGACCAACACCAGCAGAGACCTACAGAAAGTTGGTGATCAAGTTCCTGATAACAGGCCAAGATAAGCATCTTCAACATCTAGATGAGAATATGATTTTAACTTGCACAGCCTCAGAAACTGCCCACTACAGGAGTCTATGGAAATCGAATCATCTGCATCACATGGTTTCAGATTATTTGCAGAATTGCCAGCTTCCATAAGGTACTGTTAGGATCAACCTTCGTGGTATTTTACAGATTTTTGTTAGACTCACTGCTGTTTATATTTCAAGAAAATGCTGACCAAGAGCAGTAAGCAAATATGCTTACTAAATTTGACATCATGCTGGGAGGGGCAACTAGTAATTTGGAAAACAAGAATCATGCTGGAAACGAAGCACAAGGCAAAAGAGATTTTACACGGAGGACACATCCCACACACTTCACTTTTTCTTATGTTTCAAATATCCATCAATGCCAACAAAACGATACAAGGAAAAAGCCATCTGTTAAAAGAATGACTTCACATAACTAGATACAGCCATACGTTGTTATGCCTAACTCCCTCGCCATCTTATATTTGTTCTTTAATAAATAGGCTTAATTATTTTTAAAAATTTTTTCTTACATTTTTTTCTAGTGAGATTTCCCATTTTCTATACCAATTATTTCCCAGTGTATATTCAGGAAACTCCAAATCTCAAGGGTAATTTAACCCAAACAAACCATAAACCATTTTTAACCCCCCAAAAACACACAACATTTTTTGTGGTGGTAGAGATACATGAGGATTTGTTATTAAGAGGGAGAAGTGAATGAGACAATGTCACAGGATAAAAAAAAAACAGACTAAGAATTAAAGACAGGGTCAGAAAGGGTGAGAAGTAATCTATTATCTTCTATTTAAAGATGAGCATCGTATTTACTTTAAGGAATAAAAATATTACTTTGTATCTTCCTGGGCATTTATGCAAATCATGTGCACTCTGTAAAGTAACAATGATCTTTCCTTTATTCTATTTCAAAGGCACATAGGCAAGTTAAAAGAAAAGACAGTTGGCCGGGCATGCTGGCTCATGCCTGTAATCCCAGCACTTTGGGAGGCTGAGGTGGGCAGACCAAGAGGTCAGGAGAGACCAGCCTGGCCAACATGGTGAAACCCCGTCTCTTACTAAAAATACAAAAATTAGCCAGGCGTGGTGGCGCGCACCTCTAATCCCAGCTACTCGGGAGGCTGAGGTAGGAGAATAGCTTGAACCCAGGAGGCAGAGGTTGCAGTGAGCCGAGATCCCGCCACTGCACTCCAGCCTGGGACAGAGCGAGACTCCGTCTCAAAAAAAAAAAAAGAAAAAAGAGAGAGAGAGAAAAGAAAAAACTTATTCACAAAGTGTTTATGTTTACCTGGAATTTGAAGCTCATCTTCAATAAATCGAACATAGTTTTGTGCATTAACAGGTAGTTCTTTAAACGCCCTTGCATTTGATATGTCTGTGTTCCATCCTGGGAGAGTCTTATATTGAACTTCAACTTTATTTAAGACTTCTTGGTTTGCTAAAAGTTAAAGAGGACATTTATTCATGGCACACACTGTTTACTGTCAAACAACTTTTTGATATATTGTAGGTTCAAAATGTCTTTTCAAAATCTTTGGAGCCACATATGTTTTGGGATTTAGAATTCTTCAGGTAGTAGAAAGGTAAAACAGCGCAAATACCATCTGGAGTAGTATTCTATAATCAAACATATTTCTGCAGCAACGCATATGATCATTTGCTATAAGAGGATAAAGATTATGTAATACTAACATTAGTTCAAGACTGGTTTTGCTGCCAAATGAATCTGGGTGCCAAACTTAAAACTTTCCAGTTTTAAAGCTTATTGAATTTCCATTCTATTGATTAGGGATTGTAGATCTGCATGACAGCAACTTCACAGAAAGAAGGCCTGCATACCTGCTGTCTTCTGAGAAATCTAGGGTTCTACTTGAAATTTTCTTCATTATTCTACGTATTTTCTCTGTATCCCCTAATGGAAACTGAACATGTACTAAAGAAAAGTTTCTTTGACTTGAGTCAATACAGTGGATGCTATGGTACTCTGCCCAGATTTCTCTCAAGACTGAGAGCTGTGGGAGCTCTGCCTACTGAACCACTCACAGTTCAGAGCCTCTGCAGCACTCGTCCTCCACCAAAGGGAGCTGCTGCCCCCCAGCAGCCCATATCCATTGACTTGTCAATGTAGGAATAGAAACAACCTGGGCACTTAACCTTAATTTGGGACAACTTTCAAGGGCTATGTTAGCTCCAGAGCTCCCTATGGGATCAGTGAAGGCTTTTTTGCAACTATATTGCAGTGCAATTTCTCCCTCTGCCTAATCCTGCTTCTCCCACTCCCTCACAGATGTTGTTGCTCAGTGCACTTATGAGCTAACCCGCCTATGTGCAAATCTCTACATTGGAGTCTGTTTCCTAGGGAACTCAATCTAAGATAGCTGGCACCAGGAATGGTTAGAGGAAGATAGCTCTAAAATGAGAACTAAGAGGCAGAATCACTGGCTAGCTGGCTGGCTGGCAATGAGGACTGCCACTGGGGTACATAGAGTATGGATAGCCTCTATCTGAGGCACTGAGATTCGAGCACGGTGGAACAACAGAACTGGATGGCTTTTGATGAACGCTATTCACGAACTGGAGAAAGATAATGAAACCTGTCTGGCAGAACTTAGACAAAATTCCATCTCCTACAGCAGAGAGCAGAAAAAGACAATGATTAAGATGAGAATTCAATCATACAGACTGCAAAGCTCCAGAAAAAGCTGAATTCTGCAATCCAGCAAGTTTGCTATGGCAAAGTCAGAGCTTTGTTTGGGAAAAAGTGGGGCCCTGAGACTGAATGGGACATCTGAGTTGACATACTTGAAAATCCTGAATCCCTAGATTTTCCAAACTCTCTGGGTCTGCAAAAGGTCCCATTACTTCCTATTAAAGGTTGTGGCATCCTGTTGCTTGAAGATGATGCAGAGGCCTCTGTCTTGCAAGGCAGCATGTGCCCATCTCACATCCACCTTCACCTTCCCCCTCCTGGCCAGTAAATAACTAGGTTCAGGTCCCAGTGTAACCTGGCTAAGGAAGCACTGGGCCTACTAAGGAAGGAAAGGGACTGTATTCTAAAAGATCTGCAGGAACAAGACAACATTTGCCAGTAGGTACCAAGAGAGTGTATATGGAACTGGATCCTGAGGATGCTGGGTCAAGGGGGGCAGCAGGTGGTAGAACAAAGTTGAGTAAGACTATATTGGTATGGGACTATCCTCTCATGATGCATGACACAGAGATGATGAAAACATACTGCTAGGAATGCTCTTGGAAGCTTAGAAAAAGTAATGAACCATACTAAGTAGGTATGCCGGAACTGCTGTTGTAGATGGTAGGAGGAATTAAGAGAATCAGTGGGGCTTCCATTTCTAGTCATCATAAAATACACAGTTCCCAACCAGCTCTCAAAATGACAACTCTTTCTAGGCAGTGAACGACAGGCAGGCACAAAGCCATGGCTCCTGGGAGAGAAAACTCACAAGCAAGTCCAGAAGCCACCCAACTTTCTGCCTAGGGACCATTTCCTGACCACAGTTCAGAACACTGGTGTCAGCAGAGAATGGCAGCTCCACTGACCTGGGGAGGTAGAGAGTTGACTTCAGGAAAGCTGAAGCAGCTAGAATCAGCAGCGCCAGGCATCAGACAGGAGCTGTAGAGAGAAGGGCCCCCCAGAAGTCCATGTGAGAGTCCCAAGGCTACAGGAGGACGCCACAGGTAAAGAGCAGGACCATCAGAGGCTTACCAGACCTCAGCTGCTACACAGTTGGGGGTGGAACAAAGACTCTAGAAGTCAGTAGTGCTGCTGAAAAGGAAGGGACAGGGTACACTGGTGCTCCAGCACTGCTGGATTGAAGAGATCTCATTATTATACCTTAACTCTCCTGGTATCCAGCAGAGCCACCAGAAAGGCTGCTCTTTAAGAATAAAAGCCACGCCCTTGAGTGAAACCTATTACAAACCTCCCATAATGAAGCCAAAAACCAAGCTCTGCCAAGATCTATAGATCCTGGAAACTGACTCATACCAGCTTAAAGTTTGAAAAACATCTTGGGTTTTCCACGTAACTACACACAAAGCATAAAACCAAACTATACAAGTTCAAGATGATCAGTGAATAATTCAATCGTCCCCTAAAACAAGGATCAACACTATTCAGAGGAAGATAACAGAATCTGAGTCTCTTTAATATATCATCCACAATGTCTGTCAACCAATGACTATCAATCAATAGTCATTAGGCATAGAAACAGTGATCCACAACCAAGCAAAAGAATAGTCAAGAGAAGCTCGAGATGGTCTAAATGTTAGACTAACAGAAAAAAAGTAGCTAATATAAATTAAGCAAATTTCATTGTTATTGAGTGAACAGATAGGGAATCTCAGTAGAGAAATAGGAAGTAGAGAAGAGAGCTAAATGGAAATTCTAGAAATAAAAATTCACCAGTGGGTTTAAAAGCATATTGGAGATGCTGATCAGAATCATTTACCTCTTCCAGTGACTCCATTCCTTGCCTGCTGGCTTTGGCACATGAAATCCAACATGATAGGGGGAGCCTTAGCTTAAAGCTTAATGGGACTTTTGCTTCTACTTTCCTGCTGTGATAGCCACAATAGGGGCTAATTTACTCCACTAACCTTCCTCTTATAAGTTTCCCTAGGAAAGACAACAACCAGAATCCTACAGGAGCTATTCCCAGAAGGCTGTCAACTTATTTTACCCTCTTTAAGCACTCTCTGCTGCTGGTGGGGAGTACTGCATGTTGCTGATTCATAGCTCAGTCCCTCTCCAGGAACTGCTCTTGGCCAAAGGGAGCTACCTCACTTGAGGAACAGCTCTTATTTCGTGGCTAGTTGTTGGGAGGCACAAAGCTCTGGCTACTAGCCTCAATTTAGTATAACTCTAAAGGGCCACCCTAGCTCTGTGGCTCCCAATGGGATTGGCTGCACTGTATTTCAACTAGTCCCTCTGCTTCTTTCATAAGTGCTACTGCTGAAAGCATTCTCTACTACACTTCTTGGATACAAATCTCCATCTCAAGAGTGGTTCCGGGGGATCTTGACCAAAAACAGCTTTAAAATTAAACACATGAAATGGACAAGTTTTATGTGTTTTGTTAGTTTTTAATAGTTTAATTAAAAGAATTTGCTGTAATGTTCTAGAGTACATTACCATAGATGACAGACCTTGCCACATGTCATTATACTTGGTTAGACTGTTCTTTTTGGTGTTTGAAGTTATAACTCTTGAAATAGCTTTGTAAATAGAATTAAGAACCAGGACATAACATATACTGGAACAGCCAGTTTTCCAAGTGAATATTGTCCTACAATGGCAGTAGATACTTTTTTATAAGATATCTAGACTCCCTCTATACTTACATACATGTAAGACAAGGAAAGATAATATGCATTTAATTTCTAAGAACTTAGAGCTAACCTTAATTCCTAAGAAACAGAAGTCATAAGGTAGTCACAAAACCTACCAGCTCATCAAGTTTTATTAAGCTAGTCAATATTCCTTCATTTGGCATATTCCTAATCCTTATCAAATGACTACTATAGAATAAAGAGCAGAGAAAGTCATTCATGGGGCCTGAAGGATAGGGAGGGCTAATGTACTGAGAGCCAGCTTAACAAGGGCTCTTCTTACCCCTCTTCTTATTCACTCTCAAGAGTGGCATACTTCCCCAAGGAAGGAAGAAACACCTCCATGGAAATTGCTTTCAAAGGAGGGAAGATGAGACTCAAGAGCTGTATGGCTAGGCTCAGAGGTCCATGTTTTTTCTTTTGAGTTTGAGCACATGCTTGTTGTGACCCAACACCTAAATAAGTATTAGCTATGAACCAAATAACTAATAATAAGTGAGCAAATTTGCACTAATCATAAAGGGCATATCAAACCTGTCGCTATCTATCACAAATTATATGGAAGAGCTTTATGAAACTGCTCTAATACATTCACCTTATAATATCCTTTAGATATTGCCTAAAAGAAAATACCTGGGATATGAGGTATGATTTCACCATCTAACTTGTAAGCAACTCCAACTTTGATTTCCGTAAACATGTCCAAAATATCCAACTTGGTAAGTGCCAACCTAATTTTGGAAGAAAAGGCAATGTTAAAAGAGCAGACTCTTAAAGCCTCTAATATCTAATTTGATTAATGCAGGAGTAAAGAAAAATTCATGCAAAGCTTAAAGTTCTAAAGCAATTCTGAAAACTGGTTAGGATTATATTTTAAAGCGTGCCACACATAAGACGCTAGAGGACAATATACACTGAGTTACTTTGCTAGTAATTGTAACAGATTTTCACTGATGAATTTTGCTTAGCTTTCTTTTTTGATCGTTTTGAGACAGGGTCTCGCTTTGTCACCCAGGCTGGAGTGTAGTGGCACAAACACGGTTCACTGCAGCCTCAACCTCCCGGGCTCAAGCAATCCTTGCACCTCAGCCTCCTGAGTACCTGGGACTACAGGCGTGTGCCACCAGGCCCAGCTAATTGTTTTGTATTTTTTGTAGAGACAGGGTCTCACCAGGTTGCCCAGGCTGGTCTCGAACTCCCAGCCTCAAGTGATCCTCCTGCCTCTCGGCCTCCCAAAGTGCTGGGATTATACGCATGAGCCACCATGCCCAGATCAGCTTTCTTATGATTGATGAACAAACAACATGTATTTGTGGGAGGGCTGCCTGGAGTTAAGGTTGCACTGTGGCCGTGGAACACAGCAGAACTCACTACACTACATGGATGATTAAGATACATGTACATTTACACACATGCCAGCATCCCTCAATTCTTCACTCTGGTTACCATCACCTCTACCCTTCTGGTCAGAAATTGTCAAAGAGTGAGAAAAACCACATCAAGGACCTCTTCATGATACATCAAAATTTCCCGACAAACTGACTGGAAAACAGGTTTTAAAGAGAAAATCTGCAGAAATTAGATAACAAACTAAATTTGGGATTCTCGTCCAAAAACTGTATTTTTAACTTTATTGTTATTTACTGGAAGTTCAGTCTAATACAGATATGAATACATTTATTTACCTATTCATGTATACGTATTAATAACAACTTAACTTTCCCTGAGCACTTTCAGTTAGCCAGGCAGTGTGCTATAGGCTCTCACTACGTTTCTCACCTAATTTTTAAAATACCCCTATGAAGTAGGTAATGCTGTTATATAGATTTCAGAGAGGATAAAACAGAGGCAGAGGATGATTAACTTGCTCAGCTACACAAGCATAATGCACAGATCTGAGATCTGAATCCAGGAACTCAGACATTAAGCCCATGCGCGGATCACTAGGTACATCGCCTCCCGGCTGTACATGCTCATGGTGTCTGTGCTACCCACCTGTCTATCTGTCCACCTATCTGCCTACATACCCTATTCTGCCTGCCTCTATACTTAGAGTATCACGATTCTTTTCAACAACCTTGGATGTCTAGGAGGATAACTTGGGATCTCTCTCCTTGTGTACCCTTCCCCCTATATCTTGGTCTACTTCTGCCTGGCACTACAATTTCAATATGGAGTCTAAAGAGTGAAATTTTCCTATTAAGGTACTCCACAAAATTAAACCTATGGCCATTAATCATCTATGATTTCCTGAAATAAATGTTTCTGAAGAATACTCACGCAGTAAATCCATTGATCATATGAGCATATTTGAGCAAAACGAGGTCCAACCAGCCACATCTTCTTTTCCTTCCAGTAGTTACACCAAACTCTCTACCCCTTGTTTGTAATAATTCTCCAATTTCCTACAGAACAGAAAATTGAACTTTAGGATTAGAATAGCAGTGCTATATATCTGGTGGAATAATATATGCTAGAGATCATAGCAAAGCCTCTTTGAGATAAACATCTTTCAGGTAATAACTAAATTGAAGATAGAATTCCACAGAGATGATGAATTTTATCTGAGGGAGGCATTATTTGGAATGCTTCATTTATTATCATTTTTTTATGTTAATATTTTTTACAATGTTATACAGATAACTTCCTAAAATTTAGATTGACAGATTAAGAAAAAAAAGTATTTATTAAATAGACGAATCCAGCCAGTTCTTCCAAGAGCTGTAGTTTGATGCTTTTCCTGAAAACCATAAGGCAAATGTATCTAATAAGTCATTGATATCATAATGCCCTTCTGAAGAAAACTAAGATCGAAAACATGCTCAAATATCTAAGCTAAGGTCACTCCCTACAACTTGTTTTTCCTATGATCTACCGAAGTCCTTGATTTGCCCCTTTCTGCTTAAAGCTATCATTTCATTATCTCTTATATTCTGGCATCATTATAATTACATAGTTTTTGTTTATTTTTGTTGACTTTATTTTATCTTTTGAGACAGAGTCTCGCTCTGTTGCGCCGGCTGGAGTGCCATGGTGCCATCTCAGCTCACTGCAACCTCTGCTTCCTGGGCTCAAGTGATCCTCCTACTCAGCTTCCCCAGTAGCTGGGACTACAGGTGCATGCCACCACACCCAGCTAATGTTTGTATTTTTTGTAGTGACAGGGTTTCAACATGTTGCCCCAGCTGATCTTGAACTCCTGGGCTCAAGTGATCTGCCTGCCTCTGCCTCCCAAAGCACTGGGATTACAGACAGGGGCCACCACGTCCAGCCAAAATTATGTATTTAAGAAAATGTTGTTCTGACCAATCTTGCAAATTAAGTGAAAGGCACAGGAGACAATAATTCATTAAGAAAAAAAAGAAGAATGAATTTTTAATACATTTTGATTATTTACTTAGAATAGGCTTACATTGTCTTGCTCTGTAGGAAAGGCACCAATACCAACTCTAGTTGTATAAGCTTTCACAACTCCATACACTTCTCCAACATTTTGAGGTGGCATACCCAAACCAGTACAAACACCTCCAACAGTACAATTTGAAGAGGTTACAAAAGGGTAAGTCCCTAAAAACAGAAACAGACATTAAAATATAGTAGACACATGAATAACACATTTTAAAACAGAATTACCGTTACAATTCTGCATTTGAGTATATTATAGGTATCTAACAGATCTGAACTGTAACTGCCCTCTCAAAGACTCAGTGTTTTACTTTTTATTCATTTTAGCTGTAATGACATAAAAACGAGGTCAGAGCTTTAACGCAAGTGCTTATACAGAGAGGCTCCTTGAATGCATGTACAGTTACTGACTCAGCTCTTTATAGCAGCTACTCACTTACTGGATTATGAAGAAATTTAATGCTGAAACTCATCTACTTATTTTCATAGTTTCCTGTTAGTGTAAAACAAATATGACTCCCTCATACGAATATTTAAAGTGTTGTAGCAACCTGGAGTGACGGCAACACAAGAATTTTGTAGGATTCAACATTTCCCCAGCTTTTAATCTCTACTCAGGGAATAACCCTCCAATTATAAGAGCTAATTAAAGAGTGGCATACTTTCTCACCCCCAAAGATCTCCTTCATATTTAACTATTCACTCTACCAAGTAGACACTCTGTTTTCTTTCCAGACTGGCTAGACATACTATGGTATCAAAAATACATATCTACCATACAGAAATACACTTTCTTTAATAGTTTACTTGGAGTCAAAAGCCAATGAAATGTCAGTAAAAGCCAATGAAATGTCAGTAAAAGCTGAGAACAATCAGACTAATCATGAGAAATCATGTTTAAATGAAACGGTCAACAAACTAATGAGGCAGTAGTTTGACAAAAGAAGTTAAGCATTAATTAACCTTTTGAAGATGAAGGAAATGCTCTGAATTCAGAGTCTCATGCCCAGGGAGTTAATTTATATAAATAGGCTTTTATAAATCTTGCTTAATAATAATGTACACATTTTTAAAAGGTTGAATTAAAGATGCAGATTCTTCCATAGAATTTATCTTATCTTATAGTTCCAGGGTTTGAACCATAAACCAACGAAAACCACAATTTACAGAACCTCAGACCTACTGAACTCAAATGATGATTTTATTTTTCTAATAAAATAGGGAACGTAACACATGTATTGTGTGTTCTGCAATATTCCTTTAAAAAGAGTGCCACAAGATGACAAATTTCATCATTCCTGAATATACAAGCTAAAAACATTGTTTTAAAACTCCTTAATGCTAACATTAATTATTTATATTTTAACTACTTAGGGCTCAGTTAAGCTCCCTTAACTATAAGTCATATCTCACTTACCAAAATCAATATCTAATAGTGCTGCATTTGCACCTTCTACCAAGATTTTCTTTGGTGGTCCATGTAGGGCCTCATATAGAAAATAAACTCCATCTCTCACCATTGGTTTAATCTTTTCCATATAACCCTATACACAAAGACAAAAACCAATTTCCATGTATACTAATAAACGTTTAACATAACCAGAACAAGAATAAATTACCTGACTTTATGACATGAAAACTGACAAACGCAAAGTAGAAAAGGGCTGGTGACGGTGCTCACTCTATTGTAACATTTGGATTAGCTTTCATGTCTCATGCTGATTTTCCAGGAACAGAAAAGAGCATTGCTCAACAAAAACTAGAGATACAGTGAAATTCAAAGGTTCTATATTAACCTCACTGCAAATAAAACCCTCCCAGCAAAGTAGTCATACTTCATAAACCAGCTTTCAGGAAAATAAAAATAAATGACTATATTACAATGTGCTTTTAAATTTTGTGAGGTATTTGAAAAGCTGCATTTATAATATAATCCACAAAACCATAAATTTTTTATTTTATTTCATTTTTTGAGACAGAGCCTTGCTCTGTCACCCAGGCTGAAGTACAGTGGTGGGAACATGGCTCACTTGCAGCCTCGACCTCCCAGGCTCAAGCGATCCTCCCACCACAGCCTCCTGGGTAGCTGCACTACCACCATGACCACCTAAATTTTTTTCTTTTTCTTTTGGTGGAGGTGAGTTGCCCAGGTTGCCCAGGCTGTTCTCAAGTGATCCTCCCACCTCAGCCTCCAAAGTGCTGAATTACAGGTGTAAGCCACTGTGTTTGGCCAACCATGAATTTTGAAACTTGCATCAGTGATTCTCAAAATGTGGTGAGGGCCACGAGTTACACTGCCAGGGCCACGAGTTACACTGCCAAGTATGCAACTATTAGTGATTGATTACTGTTATTCTTTTAAATTTTATCCTATTACTGTAACATGTCTATCTCTACACTATTACTAGTAGATAATGTCCAATACTATGTAACACATGGGCATTATAAAAATTTCTCAAAACATTTAATTGTTAGTATTACTGCTTAACTTCAGAACTCAATTAAAAATGTAAAATAACCAAGAGCTTCCCCTAAGGCCTATAGCATAACTGCATGAAACCTAGGTTCAACTATGTTTAAATATGTAGACTATTATGGAAATTCCAGAATCTACTCATGAACCCACCTGAGTGTGTTAATACCCACTGATAAATGTATGATCACTCATGGGCTATAGTCTTCAATTTCTGACTGATTCCTGTTTTAGTCCTATTTTTATGCCTGAAATGACCACACTAGTCATCACGTTCTTTGTTCCTTAAAATTCTGGTTCAACATACATTACCTATAAGAATCTTCTTACCTAATTCTATTTATTATTCTTCACCTACTTTACATTCACATGGAACACATATAAAATGGAATTGAAAAGCCATACTCATAGTTTGGCAAGTAAATACTTCCAAGTTGCTAGTCAAAAAGTTAAAATATTTGTTGCATAACAGACTGGGTATGGTAGCTCATGCCTGTAACCCCAGCACTTTGGGAGGCCAAGGCAGGCAGACTGCTTTAGCTCAGGCGTTCAAGACCAGCCTGGGCAACATGGTGAAAACCCATCTCTACCAAAAAAAAACCTAGCAGGGTGTGGTGGTGTGCCCATAGTCCCAGCTACTCGGGAGGCTGAGGAGGGAGGATCCCTTGAGCCTAGAAAGTCAAGGCTGCAGTGAGCTGTGTTCATGCCACTGTACTCCAGCCTGAGTGACAAAGCGAGACCCTGTCTCAAAAAATAAAATAAAATAAAATATTTATTGCATAGCTGAATAAAAAGAAAATGGCAGTCTATTCTACACAATAATCAGTGCACTGAAATACAAATACCTAACATTTAGAATGTTCTTTGTAGGTCATATTTTTTTAGAACTTAGTGGATGGGCAGACCTAAGGTCTGCATTTATTCTAGAATGGCATATGAGGTTTGTAGATTCCTACTTAGTTCTGGAACTGATATTGATACTTATCTATAGATGAGAAGAAGTAATAATCAGATTCACAGGAAACAGTTTGAAGTTCATCAAAAATCGTAAAAGGTGAAAGAATGAAGAGGACAGGAATTTCAACTACTGGCCAATGTAAGCACCACTGACACCTACTAGTTGCCAAGAAAAGACTAATCTTTGGTCAATTACCTTATTTGTCTCTTAAGAGTGCAGTGCTAAAGAATCTGGCCCTATGGGGTTATCCTTCCTAAATGGGTTGGTTAGCCTCAAAAGTTCTCACTCAGCCTTTGCTGATCTGTCCTCCAATTGTTAGAAGTGATTTTTATATGATGCAAATCTAGTCTCCTTTCTGTTCAAAATTTCCTAGTAGCTTTTCATTATCTCCAGGGTAAGATCTAAACTCCCTGTCACTGCACATGAGACATATGATCTGGACTCTGTCTCCTTTACTTCAGGTACTCCTCCTGCTCCCTACTCAATATTTTGTCTAAGCCATATCATGTAAAGTCACTCAAACATACCATGTCCAAGACAAACAATTTCCTTTGCCAGTTCTTACCCAAAGCCTGCATGAATGAAAAGATCTAGATGCCAATTTGGCAAACAAGTATTAAAAAGAACATTAAAGATGCCAGAAAGCATTACCTTGAGTTTTTGTAATTCACCTTCAATGTCTATTTCCAAAGTGGGGTATATAGATTTGTATTGGTTAGCTAGAACTTTAAACCTGAGAAACACAGATAAATCAAGACATTACCACTCTGTGAAAAATATTTCAAATAATATCATTTCATTCAAATGGTTTCTGCAGATGGTAAATGATCTTAACAGCAAATTAATCCTGAAACTGAAGTCACCTTCTGAGAAATAAAATTTAATAAAGGAGATCAGCCATATGAATAAGTAAGACATTCAAATTATTTTTTTACTCAAGTTTAGGCATAGCAACAATATAATTAAGGTGATATGTGTGTAGGGAGGGAAGAGAAATGGAATGACTAAAATCTGTAAACACAAAAGACTTAAATCTGAATTAACTGTATTATACTGTACAACAACAAAAGGGGGCAGTTTACATGATACTTCTAAAAGAGAGAGAGGCAGACATTAGCAATCTAATATTCTTCAGTAAAGGTGCACTGCCAGTGCAGACAAATGTTGAGTGGTTGATCGAAAGGGGATACAATGTCATTATAGCTTTGATGCCACTTGTTATTATACACAACCAACTCCCTATCATTGAGTCACTGAGTAGCTTTTTGATGACTACTAGGTTTCCCAAGGAGATCTGGCTACAGAAAGCATGTGTTAACGTAGCATCTGTTGATTTCAAGTTGAGCTTGGTATACAATAATTCACCAGTATCTGAGAGCTAATGATTTCTGGGTGGGAGGACATAAGGAGTCTCTAGGCCTGAAAATGCAAGGATCAAGACCTTAGAATGTAACCACCCAAGGACAGCCACAGCCCCTGGAATCATTCTATTTCTCAGGAAACCATTCCATATTTCAATTCTTAAATATAACTCTGGCTTTGTCTTCTTAGGACATTCTATTAAATCACCGTCATGTTATATTTCATGAAGTTAATCTGTAACCAAGGATGAATTAGAATGTAATAAAAATAACTTTAATATTTCAAACCTAAAAAAGCCAACCACCACTATTTAACTAGAATACCGACTGTATCATTTTGCACCCTAGATTTTAAAAAAAATCAAAAAATGCATTCATTCCTTCCATTTTGAAACACAAGTTAGTTACCTCTCAGAGAAGCCATCAAAGTCAGAAACAAGGTCGCACATCCTGAGTCCACTCCGAGCAGCTTTGGACGAATAAACTGGGCCAATGCCCTTTTTTGTTGTACCCAAACTTAAAAACAAATCCAAACAAGCTTTAAGTCAGACAAGAAAGATGTAGGTCTCCTGGTCAGATCATTGCAGTGAATAAAGTTACATATGACTATTTTCTGTTTATGTTATTTCTTGCTAAGTATATGTTCATAATCCTACTGATTTTCTCTAAAACAGGATATTCTAATACTTATTTTTCTTAAACTTCTGGTCTAGAACTAAAATATAAAGGTCTGCATATGCTTAAACTGTACCAAAAAAACAAAAACCCACACATACTTTTTTCCTGCTTGTTCTTGTCTCTGTTGTTCCTGGATACCATCAGCTGCTTGATGAAAATCAAATACTGAGGGGAAATAAAACCACAGTTGTTGAAACAAAGATAATACACAAAAGCAAAATCCACCGCATTTCAAATTACTGAAGTTATAAATCCCTTCAGCCTCATTTCAGTATAATAAATTAAACACATTTTTAGAAGTGATGATAGAAGTTTATAACACCAACTAGTACATTAATATGAAAATGTCTGATCTTTCGTTCTTATTTATTGCAGTCTATACTATTTTAAAAAATAAGTCATTAAGAGGGTAATTTTGAAACATCTTGCCCTAAAATTTAACAAAGGTCAATTTACAAAAATACTCTTTTTTCTTCAAGTTCTGGACTCCAAGAATCTAGGGCTCATGTTGACACCTCCCTTTTCCTCACTAGTCTCGAGCTTCCATCACCTCTCACCAAAACTGCAGTCTCCTAATGTGTGTACCTCTTTCCATTCTTAGACATCTCTAATCCAAATGCTGTCATGCAGCCAAAGCCATCTTTCCAAGACACAAATATGGCATTCACACCTCCCCTGCCCTTAAAACTCCATGGCTTTCCACTGCTCTAAAAAAAGAGACAAAATTCAGTCTACACTTTCATCTTATACCATGCTCTGCCACCCTCACTGCCCTCTGGTCACACTGGCATTCTTTGCAGCCCTCAGCTACAAGGCATGTACTTCTGCATGAAATATTGCCTCTTTCTACACCTACACATAACTTGTACTCCCTCTCTCCCCTGCCAATGCTCTGAGAGTATTAGGATCATGTCAGTTCAGCCTACTAGTTGATTTCCGGTGCAAACATGTCCTCAAATATTTACTGACTCAATAAATAGATGGTTTATAGAAGAGGCAAAACTAGAATTTTGGTCTCTGAACTTCTAACCAAGGCTTCTTGTTTTCTGTTTTGTTTTTAAACAGCTTTATGGGAATATAATTTATACACCACAAAATTCATCCATTTAAGATGTACAATTTACTGATTTTTAGCATATTTAACCATAGCTTCTTTTTGCTAATGATGTCACTGTTTCCAAATAATTAAGTTGAAATGTGTAGATGTTTAACAGAAAGACTGATATAAGGTTCTTGGGATTAGTGGTAGCATCTGTAAAAGAACTATTTAGAACTATTAGAAGACTGATACTGAAGTTATAGATGGTGAAGCTAGAAAAGTCTGATAACCCAATCTAAACCCATCCTCTGATTAACCCTGCCCCTAAAACCATGTATGTACTCTTCTCTAATTCCCTCCTTTTGAGACACTACTAAAACTATCAAGGCAGTCCTCCCCCTGTGTTTGGCAAGGTTAACAATCATATCTTTTTATGATCAAAGGTTTCCCTGGTGTGTTAGTAGAAAAGTTTTGATGCTGTACATACTAATTAGTTATATTTCAGAAGCTAAATATGTGTGATTTAAAAATATCTAGTAAGCAGTATCTGTCTTAGTGCCACACAGTTAGATAAAAGTAACATCTTTAAAGCCATATCAGTATACTGCACACCAAAAGATATCTATCTACAAGAATGCTCAGGGTAATAGTATTTGTAATATCCCAATATTGGAAACAACTCAAATTTTCATCAATGGTAGAATGAATGGATTTTTAAAAGTGTGAAATGGTCATATAAGGGGATACTATATAGCAATGAAAAAGAATAAATACTCTTTATGTAAACAATAATTCTGAGCTATAAGGGTTAGTTTATCATCATGTTCCCATTTTATTGCCCAAGCAATAGTCTTTCTCAGTTACTTGAGAGGCCAGAATAGTTCTGAAGGGCTGTTTTAAACCCTGATTTTGCAAATCAGTCATGACAAGACTGAGATCTTAGAGTACGCCATTCTCATTTCTTTTGAATAAAAAGACATTTGAATGTAAATGTTTTGTTTTCTATGCTCAAAGAAAGTAAAAAAGCAACTGACAACACACAAATAAATGGTTGATGGAAAGCAGGTGAACCATATTTTTCAGAAATTAATTTAGTACCTTGTCATAGAACTAATGCTTTCCTTGGTTTTTCTAGGCCCCAGGAAGCAATTACTGTAATCAGAATAATTACTTTCATAAGACTTCACCATGGCATGGAGCATTAATGCCTCCACTATTACTGTTTTGAAAGAACAGCCTTGGAATATCTGTTTCACTTTCTACAGCCTAGATACTGCAAACAAAAAAAACCATCATAACTGTGCACCTTTAGCTAAGTTTATTAACAGCATTTTTAAATTTTTAATTTACTATTATAGTTAAGTTTTATTAATATGATTAATGTTATACTATGCTTGGTGTGAGACTTGGTACATGTAATAGCCACTTTGCTTGCTTTCTCACATCTCCCTGAGGTCTTTACTCAACTGTCACTTTTCAGTGAAACCTCCCTGGCCACATTATATACAATTGTAGGCCCCTACCTCCTCCTCCAAACTGCCTGCCATTGCCTAGCTCCTTTCTCTGAGTTACTATTTCTCCTCAGAACTGAGCACTATATGCCATGCTACATCGATTACATATTTCTATTGATATGATTTGTTTTCACTAATACATGATATGCTCCATTAAGGGATGCTTTTGGTTTTTTCTACTGCTGAATCCTTAGTGCTCAGCACCATACCTGACACAGTAGGCATTTAATACATAGATATTAAATAAAAGAACAGCCACCTAACTAATCTGGATTTCATATTTAAATTTTAAGTGTCTCAACCACTTCTCAGGCCATTTTCCCTGAAAAAGCATCTCTTATAGTACAAACTGAATTATGAGATTCAGTGAACAGGGCAAAAGGTTAATGCAATAGGTCCTTGCATTAGTATACTAATGTAAAGAACTGGCCAGCAACTTAATAATTTTTAAGTTTCCTTAAAAAAATCAACTGTTTAAACCTTCTAAGTGAAATATTTGAAGGTAACTCAAGTAACGTAAAAGATGCATATTACAGCCCCTAGAGCAACTACCAAAATTCATAAATTCATAAAACAAGAGGTATAGCTAGTAAGTTAACAGTGGAGATAATATTAAAAATGTTCAATCGAAAAGAAAGCAGGAAAAGAACAAATAAAAAGAAAACGAAGGGCAGACATAAATCCAACCATAGTGATAATTAACTATAGTAAAAGTAACTAGTCTAAACATTCCAATTAAAGGATGAAATTGTCACAATGAATAAAATGCAAGACCCACCTACATTTTGTCTATAAGAAATACATTATAAATCTAAAGACACAGATACACTAAGGATTATTAGAGGATGGAAAGCGATACACCATGCAAACAGTAATCTTAAGGCAACTCTAGTGGCTATATTAATATCAAAGTAGATATCAGAATAAGGAATATTACCATAAAAAGGATATTGTGGTATTAACAATCATAGCTTATTAGATACTTTTAAATCACATAATACAAATTTAGCTTCTGAAGTGTAACTAATTAGTATATACAGCATCAAAACTTTCCTACTAACAGTACCAGGGAAACCTGTTGATCATAAAAAGCTATGGTTGTTAATACCAAAGAGGATATTTCATAATGAGGAAAGGTTCAATGCATCAAAATCAGAATTGTAAACATACATGTACCTAACAGAGCTTCAATGTGCATGAAGCAAAAACTGACTGACTTGAAAAGAGAAACAGACAAATCCACAATTACTGTTGGAGGTTCAGCACTCCTCCGAGTAACTGATAGAATACACACATAGAAAATCAGTTGGGATATAGGATTTGAACAACACTATCAAACAATTTGATTTAATTGGCATTTAAAGAACACTCTACTCAACAAGAGCAGAGCACATATTCTTTCTAAGTGCATGAAGACATTATCCAAAACAGACCACATCCTGAGCCATAAAAGAAGTCTCAACAAAGATTAGGATCATACATATTCTCTGTTCACAATAAAATTAAATTATAAATAATAGAGAGAAATCATGAAAATCTTCCAATATTTGGAAACATGAACATCATACTCAACTTATAAGTTAAAATAGAAATTATGTTATTTTGAACTGAATGGAAATGATTGTAAAAATAATATTTGCGGAATATCGCTAACATAATTACATGTGTTAGAGGAACACATGTAATTTTAAATGCTTACATTAGAAAAGAAAGAGGAAGCAAAGAAGGAAGGAAGGAAGGAAGGGAGGGAGAGAGAGAGGGAGGGAGGGAGGTCAGTTGGTTGAGAGTTCATGATCCAAGCTTCTAAAGGAACTACAAAAACGAGCAAATTTAAACCAAAGAAAGTAGAAAGAAGAGAAAGAGCTGAACCCAGTGAAACAGAAAATAGAGAAAATGGTTATTTTTTGGGGAAAAAAAAATCAAAAACCCACAAAATCAATAAAATGGATACCAGGAATAAAAGAGGGACATTACTGAAGACTAAAAAAGTTACCAATAATTTCATAAGTTAGATGAACACATTTCTTTAGAAAACATAAATATCTAAAACTGACACAAGAAACAGAAAAATCTGAATATCCCGATATCTATTAAAGAAATAAAATTCATAACATTCATGGAATTCATAAAAACTTCCTCACAAAGATTTTCTATAAAACATTTAAAGAAGAAATATTACCAACCTCACACATAACTTTCAGAAAAATAGAAGGCACTAAAACTGAAACAGACAACAAAACTAAAGAAAACTACAGAGCAGTATTTGTCAGGATAAAAAACAGTACATCTTGACCAAGTACAGCACTTAAATTAGCTGTTGGGTGTATACATATATGAATAAAATAAATAAAATTCTTTCCTTTGTGGACACAACCTGTGTAAGGTGTTTTACTGATTGGGGAACTAATGACCGGAAAGGAAATCACTTGCCAGAGGATCCATAATCAAGATTTCGATCCAGATCCCTCCATTTCAAAGCCTATAGTTTTTTCCATTGTACTACGCTCCATATCACCCAGCACACTTTTATACAGAATCTCATATTATGGAAAATTTTTTAAATCCTTGGAAATAAATGAACATTCTGAAGCATCTATATGCCAGATCCTGTATTCAGTTCTGAAATGAGAATTCTAATGCCTTAAATTACAATGGAGCTTACAGAACTGTCCGTTCAGTGCCATGGTGACAGCGGGAGTCTCTAAAGCAAAGATCGAAGTGGTTTCACAGCAACGATTCTCAGACAATTTTCCAATTAGTTATTTGATTTTTTAATGATACTATTTATTCCTTTTCACTATTATAGAATTGACTATACTAAAATACATGTTTCTGGCCGGGCCGTGGCTCACGCCTGTAATTGGGAGGCCAGGTCAGGTGGATCATTTGAGGTCAGGAGTTCAAGACCAGCCTGGCCAACATGGTAAAACCCTGTCTCTACTAAAAACACAAAAAAATAAGCCGGGCATGGTGGGACATGCCTGTAATCCCAGCTACTCAGGAGGCTGAGGCACGAGAATCGCTTGAACCCAGGAGGTGGAGGTTGTAGTGAACCAAGATCATGCCATTGCACTCCCGCCTGGGTGACAGAATGAGACCCTGTCTCAAAAAAATAATAAAATAAAATAAAATAAAAAATATGTTTCTTATAAGACTTTTTAAGGGCCCTGGGAAGTGAACCTTACAGGCTTTTAGTGATATACGTTTTAAAGCATTAACACACCCATTATGACACATATGACCACTAACACCTACATTTCAGTCTGCGCTTATCTTCTACAGGCTCAGTCCTCTGTCAGAAATACTTTCCTTTAAGGTCATACACTTATGGGAAAAAATAATTAAAGAAATATAACTATAAATAAAATAATAATATTCATTTACATTTATTATGGTTAAACCACATTACTTTCCTTTTACTCTAGGCCTTTTGACCCCTTCCCATTACTACTTTGTTGTTTTGTTTTGGTGGTCTAAAGTAATTAAGTAACTTGCTTAACCTCTATGTTGTACCAAGGATGGAACTGTTAAGTGACAGACCCAAAGCAATTGCAATGAAGAAGGAAGATGGAGAATCCAGACAGGAACAGGGATATGTCTCTTAACACTAACCTCTTTCCAACAGGCTGATATCATCAGCGTATATTTATATCTGCACATAGCCCAATTATCTGATTATATACACTGATGCTATACGTTATTCAAACGGCAGGTGTTAGGGATTATTCTGTTTTGCAATCCTAAATTGCGGTATGCTGATTAAGATACTGAATTTCACAGAGCAGACAACATAACAAAAAGCCATTGGAAAGTTCTGAAGATAAGCAGTGGTTTTCATTATCTAATGCAGCGCCTTGCTTTATCCACAACAGGAACAATGGATACCAAAAAGCTACACATAAAATCATGAAGGTAAAAGAAGATAAAGATGACTATTGGTAACAGAATAAATAAAGCTAATGAGTAGTAAGTGTAAGCAAACAAAAATGCTACAAAAGTACTTCACAAAAACATATTTTTCCTTATATAACTAGGAGACTGCCAGTAAGAAAGAATATTAGTTGGGCCGGATGCAGTGGCTCACGCCTGTAATCCCAGCACTTTGGGCGGCCAAGGTAGGCAGGTCACCTAAGGTCAGGAGTTCAAGACCAGCCTGACCAACAAGTGAAACCCTGTCTCCACTAAAAATACAAAAATTAGCTGGGCATGGTAGCACACCTGTAATCCCAGATACTCAGGAGGCTGAGGCAGAAGAATCACTTGAACCCGGGAGGCAGAGGTTGCAGTGAGCTGAGATCACCCCACTGCACTCCAGCCTGGGTGACAAAGTGAGACTCTGTCTAAAAAAAAAAGAATATTAGTAATACTCTATTGCTTCCTATATTATAGCACAATAGTGATATATAAGTTTAAAATTCAAGTTCTAAGATAAGCTAACAAACAAAATATAAATATTTTTAAAATCAGAAGCTTAAAATAGGCAACAAAAATGACAACCTCCTTCTTCTGAAAACCAAAACAAAACCCTTTTGTCCTTATCCAAATTGCATGTTATCATTTGGGACTGCAAAGCTTCTTTGTTTCCTTTGTTTTTTGTCTTGGTTATGCATCTATGCCATTAATAATTCTGGAAATAAGGTGTCTTTTAAATAAAAGTTTTACTGATAATATTTTCATAGTTTAAGTATAATCAGGTGAAATATAAACTACTCACAAGCTTACTTTATGTTAAATACAGAAGTATTCCACATTTTATCCACTTACACTAACAAACAGCTATCAAAGTCTTTGTTTTCAAGGATAACCAGTCTACTAATAGACAACATACAGGACAACAAATATTAACATAAAACTGTTTTTCAGTAAAAACAAAAAATTGTTCTTTTCAGACTTTACAGATTAAGAAGCCTGTGGCAAACAATGTAATGAAGAGGCCAGTTTCATATAGAAACTGTATGTTAATCCAATAGAGTTTACTTCAAATAAGTTATTTTATTGGGTTACTAAGATTATACATAGGATTCAAGTCTGTGGCTGTTATCTGGAGGGACCGTTATTTGATTTCTGTGCTTGGCTGAGAAATACTGTAAGTATCTTGATGAGGCTGCCTTTTAAATAGAGGCCAGTGTTAAAACTAGAGCAGCTACTGCCACAGGACACACGCATACTTAAATACAATTTAAGAGTGCAGATCAATCACAGAGAAGTTTCCTACGTGGTTTTTACTTATTTCTTTTCTGGTTATTGTCTCTTAAATCATGTCACTGCTAATTAACAACTCCATTGGTTCTGAAAGAGAAAAATAACAGAGAAGAAAATCCCAAATTTATTGGTAGTGGTTGAAATTTAGGTTAGTCTGAATAAAATCTGAATCACTTAAAAAGCAATAACTACTACATTTTAGGCACAAAGAGTCACTCTATCTGCAAAACGGTACACTTACTTTTACAAGAATATTACGTATACAAATAAATGTTCTTTGCATTTTGATATGGCTTATTTTTAAATAGAATTAGAGATGTCTTATGAAATACTGCTTGTATTATAAATTTGCTTAGCTAACCTTTTTTTCAAACAGGTAAATTTCAGCCTAGACTGTTAAAAAAGAAAAAAATTAGTAAGTATTTTTTGTATTTAGAACTCAATTACTACAATCCATCCTACTTACGCTAAATAAAAATAAAAGACAAAATTAGTTACTAAATACTTTCATTTGATAAATTTCAGATAAAAAGATAGTTACAAATAAATGCAATATATCCACCTTACCAATATGAGCTCTGTCAGATATAATAAGCCTTTTTTCCCAGCCTTCTAGTCCTAGAAAGGGGAAAAAGATATATTTAATTGAATATTTTGTATAGCAGTTTTAAAATCTTAATTTCTTTTTTTTTTTTTTTTTTTTTGAGACAGAGTCTCGCTCTGTCACCCAGGCTGGAGTGCAGTGGTGTGATCTCGGCTCACTGCAAGCTCCACCTCCCGGGTTCACTGCCATTCTCCTGCCTCAGCCTCCCAAGTAGTTGGGACTACAGGCACCCGCCACCACACCTGGCTAATTTTTTTTTTGTAATTTTAGTAGAGACTGGGTTTCACCGTGTTAGCCAGGATGGTCTCGATCTCCTGACCTTGTGATCCACCCACCTCAGCCTAAGATCTTAATTTCTTTAGAAATATGTCTAGGCCAGGCGTGGTGGCTAACACCTGTAATCCCAACACTGTGGGAGGCCAAGGCAGGTGGATCACTTGAGGCCAGGGGTTCGAGACCAGCCTGGTCAACATGGTAAAACCCCGTCTCTACTAAAAATACGAAATTAGCTGGGTGTGGTGGTGGGTGCATCTAATCCCAGCTACTCGGGTAGCTGTGGCACGAGAATCACTTGAACCCAGGAGGCAGAGGTTGCAGTAAGCCAAGATTGTGCCACTACACTCCAGTGTATGTGGCGGAGCGAGATGCTGTCTCACAAAAAAGGAAACACAATCTCTAAAAGTGTTTTTACTGAAGCAATCAAGTTTGTATCTTTTCTTCTGTATAGGAAACATCATGTCTAACAAGAGTTTTCTCACATGTCATTCATTCCATACATAAATTCACTCACATGCTATCTTTCCAAATGTCTTGCTCTAAAAGCTCCAAATTCAAACCAGTCACATCCAAATAAAATACTTCTAGGAATCCAAAAGGCAAATGGTAGAAAAACATCATGCTGGGGAGGTTAGGTACCTGGCAGGGAGAAATTTGCCAGAAGGGAGTTAATTTTAGGAATGGCATCCTTTCCCAAAAGATAGTTATAACAAATATGGGCTGGGTGCGGTGGCTTACGCCTGTAATCCCAGCACTTTGGGAGGCCAAGGCGGGCGGATCACCTGAGGTCAGGAGATCGAGACCATCCTGACCAACATGGTGAAACCCCGTCTTTACTAAAAATACAAAAATTAGCTGGGTACGTGATGGCGGGCGCCTGTAATCCCAGCTACTCGGGAGGCTGAGGCAGGAGAATCACTTGAACCCGGGAGGCGGAGACTGCAGTGAGCCAAGATTGTGCCACTGCACTCCAGCCTGGCAACAGAGCAAGACTCCATCTTTAAAAAAAAAAAAAAAAAAAAAAAAGGTAAAGAAAATAAACTTTTTCATTAATTCTTCTAAAGTACTACTGTCAATTACTGTACTTACTACAGTGAATTGTGAGGTATATCTGTCCCCCCATTTAACTGTGGAAGACCTAGAGGAGGGGCTGTGAGCTTTCATAGCACAGGGCCTGTTATCCAGTAAGTGGTTTTAAAAATTACTTTTGGCTGAGAGCAGTGGCCTATAATCCTAGCACTTTGGGTGACCAAGGCAGGAGGATTGCTTGAGGCCTGGAGTTTGAGACCAGCCTGGGTGACACAGAAAGACCCCATCTCTACAAAAAAAAAAAAAAAAAATTAAAAAACCTAGTCAGGCATGGTGGCATGTGCCTACAGTCCCAGCTACTCGGGAGGCCGAAGCAGGAGGACTGCTTGAGCCCAGAAGGTAGAGGCTCACTACTGTGTTCACACCACTGCACTCCAGCATAGACGACAGAGCAAGACCATGTCTCCAAAAAAAAAAAAAGACGCTTGAATGAACAAATGAACCCAAATCGATGTTTTTCTTTAAAGACAATACTAAAGACAAATTGCTAAGCTGCAAACATTTCAAAACTAATCTTTAACAATGAAAAATTTGTTTTTCCCTGAAGATTTATTTTTAAAATATATTCCTTATAGATTAAGGAAGAGAACCTCCTCGGTAATGTGCTAAAAGGTAAACCTGGAATATTAAGCCTCCCCTTCTACGGTTGTTTTGACATACAAACATGTATTCTGAAGTTAGTTTAGGAGATATAATAAAGAAAATAGGACCAAGAAATTCAGTAAAGTAGATAAAGAGCAGGGTTGGATAGGCTAGAAGGAAAAAGGGAGTAGGACAAACTTATTAAAGGAGATGAGAGCAGAGAGCAGCATCAATATAAAAATCACAGACTAGGTCACAGGTAAAAACGCAGAAAGGAGAAAAGAGATGGTAGCAAAGACAGGGTTCTGTAGTGGTTAAGAACACCTGAAGACAGATTGCTACTTTTAAACCTGAACAGGGCGGGGCGCGGTGGCTCACATCTGTAATCCCAGCACCTTGGGAGGCCGAGGCAGGTGGATCACGAAGTCAGGAGTTTGAGACCATCCTGGCTAACACGGTGAAACCCCTTCTCTACTAAAAATACAAAAAATTAGCTGGGCATGGTGGCACGTGCCTATCGTCCCAGCTACTCAGAAAGCTGAGGCAGGAGAATCACTTGGACCCACGAAGCAGAAGGTGCAGTGAGCCAAGATCACGCCACTGCACTGCAGCCTGGGTGACAGAGAGAGACTCCGTCTCCAAAAAAAAAAAAAAAAAAAAAAAAAAAAACAAACCTGAACATACTATAACAGTAATTGAGTGTTTTAAATGTGAGCTAATTCAAGGGGAAACTAACTATACTAATGATTTTCCTCAATTATGTATTACAGGTTGAGTCTCCTTTATTCCAAATACCAGAATATTTCAGATTTCAGATTTTTTTTGGACTTTGGAATATCTGCATATAAATAATGAGATCTCTGGGGGGTGGGGCTCAAATATATACATGAAATTCATTTATGTTTCATATACACCTTACATATCAATTGAGGCAATTTTATACAATATTTTAAATAATTTTGTGCATGAAACGAAGTTTGTTTCCTCTTCCTCCTCCTTCTCTTCCTCCTTCATCCTCCTCCTCTACCTCTGTCCTTCTCTTCTTCCTCCTTCATCCTCCTCCACCTCTGTCCTTCTCTTCTTCCTCCTTCATCCTCCTCCTCTACCTCCATCCTTCTCTTCCTCCTCCATCCTCCTCTTCCTCCTCCATCTGTGGTTGTTTACCAACACCAACATTCTTGACTCTGAATTTATATGCTACTGATGAGTAATCATTTCCTTACACTTATTCACACACAAGTACTTAACAGTCAAAAATATGACATACCACCAATACAGTGGGAAAAATGTGTTCAGGGTAAGTAAGCAGTACAGCAGCAGCACCAGAGTATCTGTATCAGCTGGCAAACAGCAGCAACAACGAAGCAGGCTTCCAGTCTCCACCTGTATTCTATATTTCATTTATTACCACAGTTGGCACATCCAGCTAGTACACATGCCACTTTATTGCCCTCTGTGGGAACGCTGGTGTGGGGGAATCTGGGCGTGCATGGAAAAGATATATGAAAGCTGAAAGGGGAGAAGGCCTTTTTTCCCCTGGAAACACTGAATAAACTGTGTGCGTGCCTATGTTTGGACTGTGACTCGCTGCATGAGGTCGGGTATGGAACTTTCCACTTGTGGTGTCATGTCTGTGTTCAAAAAGTTTCAGATTTTGGGAGCATTTTGGATTTCAGATTTTTGTATTACGGATGTTTAACCTGTATTTGTATTATCAAATTCCCCTCACACCCTAATGAGATGGCCAAGGTTAATGTAAACACATCTCTAAAAATCCAAGAGATCAGGAAAGGCAAGAATCCAGGACTATTTATTTTAAGAAGATGGGCATGGATATATTGTATAAAAGCAGCATTTACTTCATTTAGAAGGAGGGACCTAAACGATTCCCCTTACATCTGTGTAGCATGGGAAAAAACAAAAATTCCCTTTTATCCCTGAGTTGTAGCAACGAAAGGAGAGCTCCAGATCCTCTAGAAAACAAGACTGACAGTGTGCAAACTCAGGAATTTCCTAGTTTTGTCACCCACATATTGTAATTCTAGCTATCTTAAGATAAAGTTTGTAGATGACTAATGTGTAAAAAAATCAGGACTTAATACAATGACATAAGATGTTGGTCTTCTGTTTAAAACACTGTTTATAATGAATAAAACTTAATAACTGACATTAAAAATTCGTCTATAATAGCCCGAAATTTTAAAGCATAAGACAAACATGTTGTTCGTCTGGCATAAGATCCTAATAAAACTTTACAAAGAACAACTGGTTACCAAGTAGACTCATTCTTTCATACCTTTTCCTTTTTGAACATTTTTCTCTGCTTCTTCAAACAATCCAGGTAGATGAATTACCACACCATTTCCTAAAGGAAAACCAACAAATCCCAACGGTAAACATCTATAACTCAGACATATGTAACTTAAAGGACATTCTGATTTACCACGGTGTTACCACAGAAATGATTCCAAGTTTTACACAGGAGTATAATTTAAATACATAATGGAACATAATATAGTGAATATAAAACACTAGAATTATACTCAATGAAGCTGAAAATTTCTTGAAAACAAAGTGAAATATGATTTTGAAGGAAACTAATTATGTAATTTTAAGCAAATGGAACATGGTCACAGTACATGCTAAATCAGTATCTTTCAAGTTGGGGAATCACACCCTATTAGTGGTCATAAATCAATTTAGTAGGTTGTGATAAGGATTTTTAAAAATTAAAAGGAGAGTAGAAAAGATCAGATTGCATCATTTATTGTAAGGGTTCAAAATAAATTCATGAACCTCTCATATTTCTTACTATGAGTCATGGTTGAAAGTATTTGTGGAAAAAAAAGTATTTGGAAAACTGATTCAATGATCTAATACTTCTTTACAGAATTAAGATTGTCAGTGAGCACAGATGAATGCAAAGTAATCATTCCAAAAAGTATTACTGTTAAAAGATCTTACAGTGACAAATAGCCAAAGTCATGTATATTCCAGAAGGTATCAAGGTCAAAATTAATAAGAGATCAATGAACCATCTGGTCAGTGAGAGATGAAAACAGTTTTGACAATAAAAAATAAACGCCATTATCAACTGGTGGGGGGGAATCTCCATGCAGTTCAGTTTATATACTTACCAATGAATGCAGTGACATTTGGATTAATTATTCCACTGGGTAAGAGATGAAAATCATATTCCACAGAATCCACAACAACTGTATGGCCAGCATTATTTCCTCCCTAAAATGTAAGATAGGGGAAAATTGAGCCTGATGATAAATACTACAAATAACCTATCTCCCTCCAAAGTGAATTAATGACCTCCTGCCAAAAGGTCAACTTAAGAGAGCCCAAATATTTACCACCTCTACTCATTTGTAAAAGGCTTTAAAATAGTTTGGCTGTCTCCTTTCCCCACTGTAGAATACTTGAGTGATTATCCTGAAAGAATATAGAAATTGGGGAATTCAGGTTTCTGAAAGACAGAAAATCATATTCCTTCTTAAAAGAGGGGAAAAAAAGTGAAAAAAATACATAGAGCAATTAGTCTGTCTTTGGCTATGGAGGATTATGGCAATCTAACCATGATATTCCATCTACACACACACAAAAAATCTCTTAAGATAGAGTAATCTATCCAGTTACCCTAACTTGATGTAAATATTCATAGAATTCCCATCATCCTAAGAGTGTGTCAAGCAACTCTGTGACCTGAAATTTGTATTCTTACATGGACTTAACAAGTATCTCCCCCAAATACTGGTTATCCTTGGCCTCTGATTTATAAACCAGTCTTGTAGGTTTGGTTAGTGACAGATCCCTAGAACCTGCTCATCTCTGGATAAAGTAATATCCTGGCTCAAGGAACTGCTAACACTGAGAATCATACTATAAACCCATGATTAAATTTCCATTCTATGAAGCTTATGCAGAAATAACAAAATGGAAAAAGTCAAATTACAAAAAGTAGGTACAAAGGAGACTAAATATTAAGTAACCAGATAACTTTTCTAAGTTTAAAAAACATGGAAGAAAACACAAGTTTTTACATTTATGTCAGCTGATTACACGTTTAAACTTCTATACAATATTAACACACTTTTAAAAGTATACTCGGGATGTATTTGCAACAAATAAAAACTTTAACAACATCCTTCTATAACATTAAAAAATACTAATCAAAACTATATTGCCTCAGAATCACTAGGCTGATCGTGAGGCTATTTTTTTCATTTTTCATTTTTGTTGCCACGTAGTATTACATACATTTATGTGTTGCATGAGATATTTTGATACAAGCATATGAGTAATAATTATATCCAGGTAAATATGGTATCTATCACCTCAAGCATTTATCCTTTCATTGTGTTACAATCTAATTATACTGAGTTATTTAAAAATGTATAATTACTGTTGACTGTAGTCCCCTGTTGTGCTGTCAAATACTAGATGTATTTTTATCTAACTATATTTGTATACCCATTAACCATCTCCCCACCCCATACCCCACTCTTACCACTACCTTTCCCAGCGTTTGGTAACCATCCTTCTACTCTCTATCTCCATGAGTTCCACTGTTTTAATTTTTAGCTCCCACAAGTTAAGTGGGAACATGTGAAGTTTGTCTTTCTGTGCTTGGCTTACTTCACGTAACATAATGACCTCCAGTTCCATCCACGTTGTTGCAAATGACAGGATTTCATTCTTTTTTTGGTTGAATAGTACTCCACTTTGTTTATGTGGAGTTTAATATATGCCATACATTAGTCTTCAAAGAGTTCCTTATCTGCCTGGGTAACGCTGCTAATTATTCAAGGCTCATGGGCTTTTTAGCTAGTAGGTAACGAATCCTGCCAGAACTGGGTCCTTCCCTTCAAGGTAGCAACTTCCTTTCTGGCCCAGGGTATGTCTAGAAATTTGCCCTGGAACTAGGGCCTGTGACGGGGAACTCAGGACTCCGCCCAGTGCCCTGCCCCTACTGTGGCTGGGATCCAAACTGCAAGACCAAATCCTCCTGACTCTTCCTTCTCCTCAAGTGGAGGGAAGGAGCCTCTCCTGGAGCTGCATGCTGTGCTGCCTGCGGTTGGGGGAAGAGGGGCACAAGCACTCCCTTAGCTACCTTGGCCGGTGTCTCACTAGGTCACATGCCCCCCAAGTCCACTGGCTCCAAGTCCAGCACAACACCAGGACTTGCCCAAGAACTGTAGTCTTTGTGGCCCAGACTATCTTCCAAATTTATTTAGGACCCCAGAGCACTTTAGCCTGTGCTGGCTAGGCTTGCTGGAACTCAGGTTCTCAATGCTAGGATGGGCAATTCCCCTCTGGCTAGGGCTGATCTAAACGCTCCTTCCGTGGGCACTGGCTGAGTTCTGCCCAGTGTTGCTTTCTACTGTGACAAGGGCAGCACTGAGTTCCAATGCAAAGTCCTATGATCACTGCATTCTCCTGCCTCGAAGCACACAGATTCTCTCTCAGCGCCCCATGGCTGCTGGGGGTGGGGAAGGGGTGGTATCAGCAATTCAAGATTGTCTTTCCTACCCTCTTCCATGCCTCTTTCAGTGATAGGAAGTTAAAGCCAGGTACTGTGATTGCTCACCTGATTTTCGGTTTTTATGAAGGTGCTTTTTTGTGTGGATAGTTATTAAATCTGGTGTTCCTGTAGGAGAACAATTGGTAAAGGGTTCTGTCTGACCATCTTGCCCCATTCTGCCCGATTCACAAGGTTATTTTTAACAAATTGAATGTTACAACTTTTACCAAATCATCCCAATTATGAGGTCACAAAAATGCTAGAAAAATAGGCCCTGCTAAAAAAAATCTTCAAAAAGCAAATACCTATTTACACGGTGTTTTGCACCGTATAAAGCAAAGAACTCTTTGAAGACTAATGTATGGCATATATTTTAAAAAACAACTTGGCAGTGTTGGGCTAAAATCTGTAAGACACACTTTGGAAAGGCACAGGCAGACGGAAACAGGGATGATGGGCAACACCTTCAAGTGATACCAAAAAGGGAACAGAGGCATTATTTTTTACTATTTATTTTTTTAATAAGAAATTCCCGCATATGATACAGACACCAAGTGGCACAGAACTATGCACAGTAAAATGTGAAGCCTTTCTCATACCCTTGCTGTAAGACAACCAGTTAGCACAAGTTTTTGGTCCTTCCTGAGGTGATTTATGCATATAAAACATATATACTGTTTTATTTTACATATACAATGGTAGCAAACTATATACATGTGGGCAGCTTGCGTACTTCCATAACCTTGCAAACAGAATCATCTCATTCTTTTAACAGTTGTATTTTACCCTTTTGTAAATGTATATATATCATAACTTATCATACTGGTCCCATAATGAGAGGCACTCAGATTGTTTCCCATCTTTTGCTATTATAAACAATCTTGCAATAAACTTCCTGGTATATATTATTACTTCACACTTGTGTAATTTTATCATCAATTCTGATAGAATCCTAGGACATATATTATACACCAAAAGAACATTAATTATCTTAACTTAGTCTTTTTTTTTTTTTTTTTAGACAGAGTCTTGCTCTGTCTCCCAGGCTGGAGTGCAATGGCGCGATCTCGGCCCACTGCAAACTCCGCCTCTCGGGTTCATGCCATTCTCCTGCCTCAGTCCCCCAAGTAGCTGGGACTACAGGCGCCTGCCGCCATGCCCGGCTAATTTTTTGTATTTTTAGTAGAGACGGGGTTTCACCATGTTAGCCAGGATGGTCTCGATCTCCTGACTTTGTGATCCGCCCGCCTCGGCCTTCCAAAGTGCTGGGATTACAGGCGTGAGCCACTGCGCCCGGCCAACTTAGTCTTTTAAAAATAACTCACAGGATAATTCTTACCTGTATTTCAGTTCCTCTTGTTAAAAATTACTAAGTTTAATGAATTTTTACTAAGTTGTTATAAAGTATTTGGTAATTTTGAGACAACAAATAAGGTATTATTATCAAAGTCAAACCAGGTTTTTTTTTAGAGATGGGGTCTCACTATAGCCCAAGCAGGCCTTGAATTCCTGGGCTCAAGCGATCCTCCTGTCTCAGCCTCCTGAGTCCCTGAGACCGCATGTGCATGTCACCCTGCCTAACTACAACCAGTTTATTTTTTTAAAACCAGTTTTTAGGCTGGGCACGGTGGCTCACACCTGTAATCCCAGCACTTTGGGAGGCTGAGGCGGGTAGGTCACAAGGTCAGGAGACTGAGACCATCCTAACCAACATAATGAAACCCCGTCTCTACTAAAAATACAAAAAATTAGCCAGGCGTGGTGGCACGTGCCTGTAGTCCCAGCTACTCGGGAGGCTGAGGCAGGAGAATGGCGTGAACCCAGGAGGCGGAGCTTGCAGTGAGCCGAGATCACGCCACTGCACTCCAGCCTGGGCCACAGAACAAGACTCTGTCTCAAACAAACAAACAAAAAGTTTTAAAAAATTCATCATTTGCTCAAGGTTAAAAATAAACTACTCTAATTTTTGGAGTAGACCCTTAAAGTAGGTCTCCTAATTTACACAAAATTACTTTTATAGCTATACCAATATAATCATTTGATGAATTATTATTTGACAATTATTACTGGTAGTGAATGACAATGTTCTTATTGTGTAACAAAAGCTTACTCTCTTAGCTAATATTTTACCAAGACAGATAGTAATGATGGAATTAACCATAATAAAGAGATGATGGTTGCTCTACACACACACACACACACACACACACAAATTTTTTAGGCAGATGGTTGTGATGGATGACTTTAGGGGGAAAAATTGGCTTAACTCCCTAAGTTTGTCCAAGTTTATAGGCAGCTCAGGCTGGAAAGTTCAGCAGTAAAAGACAAAGTCACATGGTGGTATAAAGTTTGCTCATTCAAATATTAGTTATTGAAAAATAGCAACATTTTTCAATAACCAGTATTACATTGATTATTATATGGTTTAAATATCATTTAAGTTGTTTCCGTATGGAAACATTGTTAAATATACCCAGAAACACCCGAGATTATCCTACGTGGGATTTAGGGGGAAATATCTAAGTGCTTATTTATATTTGGTCACTAGTGCTCTGTGAGGCAGTTGGGGTATAACTTTTAATCTTGAAACGCACACTACACAGAAGGGTCTTCAGGAGAACTGAGAAAGAGCTGCTCATAAGGAGTTTCTTGATGAGGTAATCTATATAGGAAGCAAGTTTTAGTATACTGTATTTTATAAAATGCAACAGATAAAGAAATTTGAAGTGCCCATTTGGATGTTAACCTAAAATATTCAGATTATGTAAATAGGCAAAATTCACCTTGGGAGCTCAGGCAATTGTCCTCAAACAGAGATTATACTGGTTCAAGGAGAGGTCACATATTAGCAGACAGTAAAACAAAGCATTTCAAATATGAGCACCATAACCAAAAACAGTTTCAAATACGAGCACCCCCTCAGTCTCCCACCTATGTATTAGAAGGGCAGATGGAGCTGCTCCTACATGGGCCCATGGGCAACTCTGTGTAATATGTGCCAGGATGAGCAACAGCAAGGATGTGTTTGATTCATCATGTTTCATGATTCTCCCAAGCAGCACTGGGGAGGCCAGATAGTACCAAACAAATGATGGGAGATATTTTGTTGTTGTTGTTCTACTTCTAACGGAAACATACAATTTCCTTCTCAATCCAAATTTTCCACAAACCAAACTTGGTAAGTTATCTCCCACAAATGTATTAGTCTTATAATCACATTAACAGTTACACTAACTACCTCCTGCTTCTTTGCCAAACTCCCGTAACACTTATGATCCCAGTCACTCTTGTAGCATTTAACAAATACTTTTCATTATCATAGCTGTATATTCTATATTACTTAACAAAAAAATAGAATATGTTCAATTAATAGTTATATAAACAAAGGGCTGTGGAATCTCAACGTTGTTTCTGGATCAATTATATCCAACAGGGAAAACATTTAGTAATAAATCTCAGAGATAATTTTTTGAACTTTGTTTTTCCTAGAAATAAGTCATATTTCTGAGTTGGTAAAATGCTTTTCTGAACGTACATTTTTGGTATCTGGCACAGTCAACCAAATGTCTGTCCATTTTTGTGTAGCCTTTATACAGTACAGATTTCAGACATCATCCTTGCATCTGAATATTAAAAACATTTGACATTGTTTTTTTCAGTCCGCACAACACCCCTATGAAGTAGGTGGTACTGACTATTCCACAGATGGGGAGGCCTAGGCACGGAAAGGTTTAGTGGCTCCTCACAAGCCACGTGGCAGGGAGGCGGAGTGGCAGAGTGGCGGAGCGGCTCTCCAGCCACGTGCTGACACCGCCTTCTCATTCACACTTCCATCAGTGCCACAACACTGCATGGCAGGCTTTCAGGTTGAGGCCAATTTTTAAACCATTTTACTTCTGAAATATACCCTACCCCCCACCAACACCCCAAGAAACAAAAAACAGCATGAGTCCACAAGTAGCTACGTGGCAGGTTTCTTTGAGGAAAAGCATAAGCTTATAATGCCTTATATGATGTTCTTCTTATATTAAATACCAAGAATAAATGCAGGTTAATTTTATTAAAGTGAACAATATATGAAAGAAAATTCAATTGCAGTCACAAAACATCCCCTAATATAGTATATATTTTACCAATTTTCTTTGACTGTTATTCTTACATTAAGATGAAATACAGGCCGGGCGCGGTGGCTCACGCCTGTAATCCCAGCACTTTGGGAGGCCGAGGCGGGCGGATCACGAGGTCAGGAGATCGAGACCATCCCGGCTAAAACGGTGAAACCCCGTCTCTACTAAAAATACAAAAAATTAGCCGGGCGTAGTGGCGGGCGCCTGTAGTCCCAGCTACTTGGGAGGCTGAGGCAGGAGAATGGCGTGAACCCGGGAGGCGGAGCTTGCAGTGAGCCGAGATCCCGCCACTGCACTCCAGCCTGGGCGACAGAGCGAGACTCCATCTCAAAAAAAAAAAAAAAAAAAAAAGATGAAATACAAAGAAAATATTAAATAAGCTTCTTAATTACCAGGAAAAAATGTATCTCATCACAGAGCTATGAAATAAACTGGAACATCATGATAGAAACAAAAAGCAGGACTAAAATTCTATGTTCTCAAAGCTGAAAAGCAAAGTTTCTGATGTATGCTTTTAGTTTTTACCATCAATACATAGCTAATTTTCATTATTTTAATTAAGGTTAAAATAATAAAAACCAATTTAACTCTATTTTTTGTTCCAGAAAAGCACTACAGGTCAATAGCACATTAGAGTTTTGGAAAACAATTTATAAATGAGAACAATCCAGAACAAATGCTTCCTCATACCTTATTTTCCTATACAAAATTAACTCCAGGTTAGTTATAGCTTTTGTATGCTCAGTCCCCCTCCTTTTCCCCTACTTTGCAAATCATAGGAATCATCCCCCCAGCCACAGCAAACTGATCCAGGCAGGGAAACATGTTCCAACCTGAGCCAGTCAGCTCCTCTCCCTTGGGAATCTGAATTTGAGTACTGAGAAGGAAAGCAATAGCAGTCTGAGATGCCTGTCACCTACGGGAAGCATCCTAAAGAAAAAGGTTGCCAGTTCTAGCTGCTGAAATTCCAGGAGCAGGCTTCATCTCAGGCCACCATCCTGCTCTTCCTTTAAACAAATCCCCATTTTGCTTGAGATAGTTTCTTTCCATTGCTTGCAAACAAAGAACACAAATGATTCACAAAAAAAACTTACTACAACATAATATACACCTTGCTGAATTTACATCTTGTACTAGTGAAACTGAATATTAAAATGATTGCTAGATATTAATAACATTTTATGCTGTCAAGGACAATACTTTAAAGCATTACTGCAGGATAGAGGAATGATATAATAGTATTTAGTTATTCTGTAACTGTTCTCAGTTTTTCCATGCATTCCTTTTCTTCCTAATTTGATGTTTAGTTTAAGGAAGTCGGAAGACAAGTGTTTTGAATTTTCTTTCCATGACTCCTCAGAACCAGAGGCTGTCAAATCCAATTATAGAATAAAATTTTGGATCAGGAAATGCTAATATGTGTAAGCTTCTAGCTAAGAAGCTCCAAAGGTCCAGGGGAGGTTAAAAAAAAAAAAAGTTTGGAAAGGAATTAAATGATATTAGTTTACAAAAGTGACTCTTGATTCTTAACTTGGTTTCACTACTGGGCCTTCTCCTTCCCTAAATCACTCCTTTCTTCGCTCCCCCAAGTGCATTTCTGCTGTGGTAGAGAGATGAAGGCAGTGAATGATCCTCAGTGTTGTAAACCTGAAACAATGGTCTCTTTTCCAGAATACAGGCCCAAGTGTCAAGGGCTACCAATTTCATGCACAAAGCCCAGAGGCATTTTTCAGGCTAGTTAGGCCTCTGTGTCTTATCTTTGTCCTTTTGCTTTGAATATATGAACAACCTACTGTAATCACAGAGCTCAAAATGAACATCAGGAAGTCAGTGGCCACTATGGATTACAGGAGAGAGCAGCAGTGTCTCAGATCCCATGCCCCTGAACTATTTCAGCAACCAAAAAAGGGTTGCTATTTTTTTGTCTAATCTTCAAACTTCTTAAGAGCCTAAAAATCTTTGGAGTCAATGCTTATTATCTATGCTGCTTTCAGGGTAAAGATTGTAAGATCTGTGTCTCCTCCTTTCCAGATGAAACATGTTACCATTCACCAAAACTAAAGCACTTATCAATCCACAGCAATAAAGCAGTTATAAATGATGATTGTTCTTTCATGAAAGCATTCACATAACTGCAATTAGCTTATGATTCCAAAGTAGAGCAGGTTAAGTTACTACCAGCAAGTTGATCAAATTTAACTATGTAGCAGTAACCAGACACACTAGACAGCAAGAGAAAAAAATACACAGGGTATCTGAATTTCTTTCTAGCAAAGATATCCCAGCTCAGTTATCCATTAAAGGTTTAAAGGTATCCACTTTACTTTGCATGATTATAGTTACCTTCTAGTTTCATACACACATAAATGTCACAAATGATGAAAACCTCAGATACCTTATATTTTAGACCTAACATTACTATTATGAAATAACTTCTCACAATGAAAGTGGAAAGGGGCCTTGCCTGAGAGAATCTTAGGTTCCTAAGAAGCTTTAGACTCTGGGTACCAAACTCTAATATTCTTTCACACTCACCAAACCAGGGTCATAGATGAGGCCATAAGACATCCAACCAAAAATGTATAAACCAACGATGTCACACAGCTCTTTGTAAATGTTTGATAAAAATTCACCTAATTAAATTCATGAAAATATTTTCTTAAAAACACATTGAAATTAAACTACAGATTTCAAGTCAAAAAAGTTTTCTCAATAATAAAATTCTTCCTTTAAAAAAGATGTTAAAACTTAATATAGACAAAAATCTCATTTTTAGAAATCTCATGGAGCCTCTTTTCAAAAAAGAATTTTGTTATATGAATCAAATATAAATTTTGGTTCAATGTAAAGAACTATCCCATCCCAGAGCCAGATTAGCCACAGGAACTCCCCTTCATTTATTGTTCTTTTCATTGCTTTCAGCAGGCAATACTGAATGTTGATGTTTCTGTTGCTAAAAGTATTACAATAGTCACCAATTTTAATTTATCAATATGTAGCTCATCCACACTAATCTTTGGTGTCAACATCTGACACAGTCCCTGAGAGATAAGATAGCTGGATTCGTATCCAGTTACAGAAAGAAAGCTATTAAGTAAATATCAATTTATTGGTTCATTCTAGATTTGCTCTAGGCAACAGTTTTTCTTAGAGATACTTGTAAACATCCAACAAACCCATCCATTCCCACCAAAGTTAAAGAAACAGAATAATTTTGATCAGACACCACTGAGATGGTCTCATACACGTTTAAAAACTCATGCCTCAAAAGTAGAGCTGACAGGATACTATATTTACTAACTGCAATAGGACATCCTCATTGACCGAACATTGAGATTTACTGTCCTCAGCGGGGAATAACTAGTTACTAGAACCCCACATGGTATTCAGTCGAAATATGTTGAGGAGATACATGAAAAAGATATAAATATCAGTTACCTATTTTCTCCTAAAAACAAGAGATAAGATTTTAATATAAACAAAGACTTTGAATGGTACAATGTAAAAAATTCCAGCTGAAAAACTAAATAACAAATGTTAATCCAAGGAATGCTAGGAATTCCGCCTTAAATGTATGCCACCAGTCAATTAAATTGTCCAGAGAGATGTTAAAACAATTACAAGAAAGGGTTACTATTATTTATTTCAAATAAATTTCCAGGGGTGATCTTGCCACCCAGAATACATTGGTTGAGTATTTCCCTTCTGCTTCATATAGTATTAGGTGCTACAGAATAAGAAAAGGAAGAAGTCTCCCTTTTGAGAAAATTTACATTATAGTAGAGAAAGCACAGTAACCAAACAGAACAAGATTTAACCAAGTATAGTATAACAGACATTGGTAAATACTTATATACTAGGGAAATGCTATAAATGATATAAAAAGAATCAGAAAAATGGAAATAGCAATTGTTATAAACCTGGAAGAATGGCTTACCTTAAATGCTAATTACCTACTATCCTTAAAATTATGGGAAGTAGTCTGGCAGATCATTTTAGCTGTACAAGGTCAAGGCATTAAATAATACTAACGTTATTTTCTTTTAAATTATCTTTCACCTTTTCTATTTCAAGGAGAAAGTTTTAGTTTGCTGCTGATATGTCTTTTATGCTTCTTTAACACTAATAGTGGTTTCAGATCTTCAGCAGATACTTGTATCTAGCTAGAAAATAGTAATATTTTTTCAGTATGTTTATTTTTATAGCAAGCTTTTATAAACATATATCAAGTGATGGGGTGTGCTTTCCCTTATGACTAACTTTAGTATTTTCTCTTTTTATTGACTTTGAAGCCTTGGAGAGAATACACACGGAACACTGCTCTAGCCTTTCCCGATCACAGGCAACTTCATGTGTGTCATTATAACCAAGACCACCGAAGTTACTTTCCTCAAGAACAATAAATAAGTAAGCCTTTGCTTAAAGCCTGGTATAAACTACTATAGTTAAGAAGTTTCTGTAGCTTCTACTCAGCAAAATACAGAAAACAAAGCACAGTATTTTACTTTGAGAGAACTGGGGAAAAAACAGTATTAGGCTTCCTTTTGTGATGCCAGAAAGGGACTTTCTTGGTCCCATACTTTAACCTCTTGAGAAACGTATTAGACTAGTACCTTTCTCCATCCCGACCTTCTCAACACTTTTGCTTACACAGCAGTTGTCCCCCAGATTGTGAGCTCCTTGTGGGCACAATCCCTGCCTTTTTCAGATTTTTGACTCCCAGGCTAAGTGATCCCCTGCAGATACTCAATGTTTACTAGATGAATGACCTGTACCCAGGGTTGGGCCTCTATTTAATTCTTCTCTCTTCTTCTTAAAATAAATATTGATTTAAAATTAAGGCAGCAGTAGTGGTTGTCCTTTGATGCAAGTCCTACATATTTATGGATCTGGGGAACCTACCAAGTTATAAATAACTCCCCATAAATCCTGAATCTGAACAACACAGGCCTTAAGCGCTGTTAAGAGTGAAAACGCCACTAGGTTTGCATCTATTGTTTCCAAAAAGGCATTTTATACATTAAAATTTATCATTAAATGCAATGCCAGTTTTTCTTTTTAAAACTATATTTTATGTTGGGAGAAAGTCCTTATGAGTCTACTGGTGAAATACGGATACATTATGTGTACATCACTTCTGGAGAAACAGTACTGAATAAAATTTGAACTCATGACATAAATATGGCAGAATATATTAAACTCTAACAAAGGACATATTTTCACTAACACACAAAACTTAAGACATCAAACAAGGCAATCCAAGCTCACAATGTCTTACTGTTGATTTTTTCCAGCTCTCTATACACACTCACTAAGAACTTCAACATTCCAATTTTATAACCTAGGGGAACTTCATTAAGTAGATGCCAGCTTACTAGGGCTAACCAAATAATACAAAGTTACCAAGGTAAATCACAAAAGAGATAATGCTTAAATCTATTCATTACTCATCTATTTTTTGCTAACAAGACTAATAAAGAATCCTAATGATACACTTTTAAAAAGCACTAAAAGAACATAAGGATTCTATAAGGAAGGTAGTTAAGTCAAAAATACACAGGTGAGGGAAGTCTGCCCAACAAGGCCCCTCATTTGTTTCTCCACTATCTTCAGCTAACATTTTAAAGCCAAACTTAGTTCCTTCTCAATCACTTCTCTAGCCTTTCCAAGGGCATCAGATCAGGTTGGTCCATGACTTCAAGACTACTTTCTCGGTAACATTAGTAACACCTTCTCCAAGCTACAAACTACTTCTAATATTTCTCCATAGAATATTAAAATTGAGGATCCTTTAGAATAAATACCATAATGGTTGTGTTCTCCAAACCTTCTTACAACCCATAGTGTAGCTCAACCTGAGCTATTTCCATATTAACGAGATGTCAAGATGTCAGTGAAGGAGACACACAGGCCTCAGCCTCTCTCCCGCTGTCGACAGCAAGAAAGCTCGGTATTCGGATACGTCTTCCCCACAGCATGACCAGATCTGAATGTAAGACAAAAGGTAGGTAAAGGCTGGATTTCTGGAGTATTTCCTAAGAAAGTGCGGGGCAGGAATTTAATGGCAACACCCTGAAGATTGCTAAGGTACAAAGTGTGTTGCCAGAGGGGTGGAGAAATAATAGGCTGGAAGGGAAGGAGGGAGAGGTGGTAGTGACAGTTTCCTAAGAGGCAATTAGTGCAACAGCTATTTCAGAATGGGCAGGGTGGATTTCTAAATGAAAACAAAACAAAACGAAACAAGGTAAATCAGAGAATATTTGCAGTATTTGCATTTAGCTTTTTAACATACCTGTGATTTCATTGTTTCTGCATGCTCAAAATGGTATTCAAGGGGGCCTATAACTTACTAGAACATATACAGCATGGCACCATCATATCATGCCATGCATGTTCAAAAACAAATATTCTTGCAACCTAAACAGATAGCAGTTAACTTCAAATATTACATTATGCTTTGTTTTGAAAGTGGTTATTGCTCATCTGCTTAGAATTTTGAAACTGGAGAGAGTTATCTGAGAGCCTTTACAAAGGCCTTACCCTGTATGCTGCGTCAAAGGAAACGACAAATAGGAAGAAAGGTTACACTGAAAACCACGTGTCTCCCGTTAGAAGTACATTACCACCTCGTTTTCCGAAAGTTCACTTTCGATGTCACCTTAACAATGCAAATATTTATTTCCAAATACTCAATTTGACATCCATGTATTTACTTCCCTCACTTTTTTTGAACAGAGAAGGGATTCCTTCCTCTGGGACCAACTAGTAAAAGTAATTTCTCCTTAACTTTCATGTATGGAGCACACTGTAAAAACAAAAACAAAAACAAGAAACTCAGGGCCCTAAAACAACAGTCCAAAGCCCAGAGGTGGGTGGGTTTGGATGTCAACAAAGTGGACCAGAGGAAGCAAAGCACTGCATGCCACGGTCCTGCAGATGGGGGATCGGTGAGTCTGATTTCAGGACGTTTCGAAACAATCCACTCCCACTCCGCCGCCCTGGGCGGGGCGGGGGGGCGGTGATGGGGGGTTCTGCCGTCGCGCCGGGTCTCCGCCCGCAGTCGGAAGAGTTGGGAGCAGGCCTCGGGCGGTAGCTCCTCAAACTCGGACCGCATCCCACCTCCACCCCGGCCTCAGTCCCGGCGCTGAGCACCACTCGCCAGACGCAAAACTGCAACTGCCAGGCATCGCGCATCTCTCAAAGGCTCCCCGCCAGCCCACCTCTTCCTCCAGGGCCACCCCAAGTTTCACCCGACGCTCCAGGTCAGGGGTCCCCGACCTCCCGCCATTTCTCCACGTAGCCGCAGCTCAGGACAGGAGGAGAGAGCCTCAAGGTGACACCTCATTTTGGCCAGTGGATCCGGGTTCTGGGTCCGAGTTCCCGGGCACCAGGAGCCAGGCAGCCCGAGCTCCCGGGCCCGGCTTCCCATGAGAGGCCCCGTCGCCTCACCTGGCAGCGGCACACGATGTCGGCGTCCTGCGCCAGCAGGTCCACCACCTTCCCTTTGCCTTCGTCGCCCCACTGCGCACCGAGCACCACCGTCACCCGGTTTCCTCCGGGCCGCGCCCTGGGGCGGCCGCAATCGCCGTTGGGCAGGGAGGATGCCGCCGGGTAGGTCTCGGCGAACGCCATGGCTCCAGTGACGCGAGGAGAGCCCGAAGGAGAGGCGGCCGGCGAGGAGTGAGCGAACTGAACTGCTCTGCGGCCGCCAGCCACATGCAGAGGAAGAAGGAGCCAGAGGCCGGCCCCGCCCCCGCCCCGCCGGGCCGCCACCCTCCAGCCAGTCCCCGCCCCGCTCTCCGCCACAGCCCGCTCAAGGGGGTACCATGACTGCCCCGCGCAGGCCGGCCTCGGCAGCACCGCCCGCAGGAAGAGGCCCTGGTGGCGGCAACGGCCGCCACCCCGGACCGAGGCCACGCCCCTTCCGCGGCCTGGCGCGCCACTCCCGTGCAAACCTCGCGAGCGGAAAAGGTCAGGGGCGGGGCTTCGAGAGCGCTTCTCCTTCAGCACCCCGCCTACCCGCTCTACCTCTCGCTTTCAAACTGGAGAGGCGCGGAAGCGCGTGTGGAGCGTCGGACTACAAATCCCAGCATGCAACGCTCTGGGCTGCGGCGGTGTATTCTGGGGCCACTGTGTCTGCCATCTGCAGGTTTGTCTGGATTTGTCTTTATTAAGGAATGAATGTGTACAAAATACAAACTGTGGAATTTCGCAGTACAAACAGCATAAAATCGGAACGTGTAAGTGTAGAATTGGAAATTAAAAGTCCGGAAGTAACAGAGATGGGGACAGGGATCAAAAAAGACAAAATTCAAAAGTAAGGCAATAAGATAAAGGACATGAGACCTGAAATCAATAGATCAAATAAAGTCCTAATCCTCATTTTACATAGTAGTAACAAAGGCTCAGAGAGGAGGAGTGGATTACCTATGTCGCATATAGTACATATATGCAGATACCGTCATGCACTTCTTTATTTTTTAATCCCCACAACCATATAAGGTAGGTGATCCTCTATTATCCTTATTTTACAGGATTTAAAAGCTGGGTAACTTGCCCTAGTGAGGCTTGAATTGGTACTTCGATAATCTAAGTCCAGAGCCCATGTCCTTCCTGTAGATTCCACTGTCTCTCAGTTACATTTGTAACTAGATTCTGGTGTATACCTACTGTTCATCTAATGCCCTTTCGACACCAACACAAATTAACTATGATGTTTAATTCTGATAAAAGGTGCTTCGAAAAAAAGTGGGAATGGAATCACATTATATGTACCGTCTCCCAAATCGCCTGTACATACTGTATGTTCACTAATGGTCCCTAGAGTACACTTTAGTATTTTATTTCTAGTCAATGAGTTAAGTCAGGAACATTGAGAACCTGCTATTAACTAACTAAGTGTCCTGGGCACTGATAACATAGGAGAAATAAAGATACAATTCAGCCCTCAAGGATTCAAATTATTTGGTCTATTGATTAGTAAACAATTATAATACTATGTGATAATTGTTGTCTATCTTGGCCTTATTACAAGATCACAAACATTTTGGAAACAAGAATGCCATCTATTTCTTTCTAGTCAAATGCCCGAGGTAGTGTTGGGCAGATAGTAGATACTGAATAAGCACACCTTACTAGTCATTTCCATTCAATTTTTTAAAATCATTTATGGGAGACTGATTTGAGTAATAATAAAACTCTGGTTTCCTGCACAGCCAGCTCTACATGAATTACTCTTTCTCTATTGCCATTTGCCTGTCTTGATGAATTGGCTCTGTCTAGGCAGTGGACAAGGTGAACCCCTTGGGCGGTTACAAATTTGGGGGCTTGTCTGGCATTGCCTTTGTGGCTACCTACTCGTGGTTCAGTGGCCCCCCTCCAGCAATGGATCCAGAAGCCTGCCCAAGCGGCCACCCAGTTCTCTTGGACTGGGGGCTGACTCTGGTACTCTCTCTACTGGTGGGGTGCTGCCAACCCAGTGTGCATGGATTTAATTGCAATGGAGAAATAGCCCCGGGGAGACGTCCCTTAACTGTAACCCTATCACAGGGTGTCTGTCTGTAGCCCCATTGCAGGGCAGGGTGTCTGGATTGGTGAGTATCCTAGGTGCTGCCAACGCCTCCTTTCTCCCAACTGGTTCTGTAGCCCTATGGTGAGGTGTCTGTAGCCCCATTGCAGGGTGTCTGTTCGGCTCCTGGGGGGGTCTCATTTGGCTCTTTCTAACTAGTAGGAAGAGTCCAGGTTTGGGAGACTTCTCCTGAATCAGGAAGATTTCAAGGAGGTTTCTCAGAAGGAGAATAGGAGGATAGTTTGGAAGGGATACTCCCGGAGTTCTTGGTTAGGGATCTGATTGGGAACGCCTTCTGTCCTCTCGTCTTTGTGTGCGTTTGTATATGTGGAAGGGATCTCAGAAGAGGTTGCTGATGGAAGTCCAGCAGACCTAACTCAAAACCCTCCTTATTTGTCTGGTCACATTTGATGAGCCCTACAGAAGGCTCAACAGGCCTGTCTCGGGGTGACTATCTGCTCTTCGTCTTGCCCAGAGACCCCATTGTGAATTACCGTTCGGAGGTCATCCCTCCCCACCTGGAGTGGATCAAAGACAACAGGGACCAAAGAGAAAAAGTTTTTGAGCTTTGCCAGGCTGATATTGGGAGCTGAACGAGGTGGCTAATGTGTGTTTTGTTATGTGTGTTTTGCTGGGATGGAAAATGTTAATTCGGTTCCCCATGCAGCCCGCTGGGCAGCATCTTGCAAATTAAGAATCTCGTCTATGTTTCCATAAAACAGTAAAGGGTGATTTTCTCTTGTAAAGTGGCTTGAACCCCACAGCTATAGCACAAGCAAGCAGGGTCATCAAAAGCCACTCCATTCTTCTGGAAACTGCAGAGAAAGGGAACCCGGAAATCTGGTATGCCGGCACAGAGGGTATGAAATTCTTACCGGACCGGTTTGTGGTCTCTCTCTCTCTTTCTCAGTAAATAGTAAACTGTTTACCTCCTCTGCAAGGGTTTGATAAATGGAAAAAAGGATTTGTGAGACTAGTCTTAGGCTGTAGCAAATCTGGTGTAGTTTTGTGCTAAGAATTTGTCTTTCTGTGTTCTGTAGTGGATAGATGGGTGTCACAGGATAGAACGTGGGTTTAGGACCCCTATAAGCCTGCTTTTCAAGCCGGCTTGGCAGGCTGGTCAGTTACAAACTTTGCTACAGGTCCCTGAAGCCAATACTGTATGAAATTTCTCTGTCTTGTTTTGTGTCCTGAAGAGCTTAACTTTGTGACCATGTGGAGATACTTTCTCTTGGTTTCCACCATCTAGAAGACAGGAATTTGGGGATTTTTAGGTTAGCCCTAAGAATTTTCTTGAGCAGTTAAAAGCCTTTGCAAGCTTGAAACTGGCTTCTGTAGGCTCCTTCTGGGAAGCACAATAGAAACTGCTCAATACTGTGTAACTCAGTAGCTAAGGTTTTGCCTCTTGACAGTGGGGGGTCTGGGTTCTATTCCTGGCTTCTGGAATGATTCCCTTCTGGTTTTTTATTTCTGTAACTTTGCCATTTATTGAGGTTCCCGCGTCCCCCCGCTCCCATGAATAGCTTCTGATTTCCTGTCTTGAATTTTCCTTTCTCTAAACTACCCTGGGGGAGATTCTACATCTTGTAGAAAAAAAAACTGCTTACCATCTCTTTGAGACACCTGTGTGTCCATGGTTATAAACTTAGTTAAAACTTAATTTCAGGTGGGAAGTTACCTGTGGTAGAATTCAAAAGCCAAAAATATTGGCCGCTTGGCGTGGCTAAAGTTGGGTATAAAATTTTTAAGGGTTTTTTTTTTTTTTTAAAGAGCGCTATGGTTAAAAGTCAGCTTAATTAAAAGTGGATAAACAAGCTGTAGGTATATTTAAAAGGCCTTTATGTTTCTCTCTTCTTGGATCTTGTTTTTCTGGAAAAAGATTATTTTTCTGGAAAAAGGTCTTTTTTTCCTTCTCAGTCAACTGAATTATTTTCCTCCACTTTTTTGTTTTGCCTATCTTAATGTACACATGAGAGGCCCTGAGATAGCTTCTGGTAGCCTGGGACTCCTTGGGAAAAACAGGAGGCACCACAGACCCCGTTTTGGAAAAAAGCTCTGTTTTCCTCATGAAACCCCAAGAATTAAAAGCAGACAGATCCCTCTCAAAATCCAAGGCTCTATTCTGTTTTGCATTGTGTTATCTGACGGTTTTGAGTTTTAGGGGCATCAGAAATTACTTCTCATTCTGAGAGAGCTTTGGTGTATAACAACTAGGTAGGAAATATACTTTAGGAGTTGGCTAATAGTAGTTACGGAGGCATACTTGGCTCTTCGCACACTTGGATCAGAGAAGCATGCTTTGGCCACCTGGAAGACATGGAAACACCCCCCCGCCCCCCAACAGAGAGATGAGAATCCCATGGGGGATGGTCTAATTACAAATGGACTGATTGGCTTTGGGTTGCGTTGCAGTGAAATGCATAGTTGGTAAAAGCACTGCACTGTCTTCTCTCGAAGTATTTCCGTCCTCTTGGGATCCAGGATCCAGTGTAAAGCGGCACCCTTAATTTTAAGAATCCGTCTTTGCCTTCAGCTGCTTGTTTGGCCCTAGAAACACAAGCTTTCCTAGCCCTGTTCCTCCAGGGGCTCCACCCTGAAGCCAGTAATCCAATTAAGAAACTGGCAAACAAAAAATCTTACAGGTGCTGAATCTTCTCTCTGGTGTGTGATGTTTATATATAAAAGAGCTCTGATTAATTGCCTTAGAAAAATGAGCGCTTACATCACATATTTTGTCAGAAAAATAGAAATTTTAATGCCTTTTTATTCACATGACTTTAGTAATCTTTTGGAAATAAAGACAGTTTTAAAGATTTTTGGTAAAATAAAATGTCATGAAAATACAGACATTTGGTCTAAATTAAGATCAGATATCAGATTTGCTAAATGCTTTAAAGTCAAACTGTTCCTTTGACTTTTGAAAATCATTTGATTTACCTACTTTGGAGCATTAGGCTATAGATAAGGCCTGGGGACACATGGACAGCCATGCCCCTAGTTATGCTGAAAACAGTCAGGCCTTATCTTCACTTCTGTCTGGTGTCCTAGGCTCCATCCCTAGTATTAACTCACTTACTTATCCGGTTTTTCACTAAAATGAAAGTTGCTAAGAATTAACACTGTAACATGAAATTGAGATTACTGGAGAAACAGTTTTACATACAAGGTGTGTAAGGAAGGTGTTTTTTGGTAAAAGATTGTAAGAAGGCATAGGAATATGGCTTTTGTTAAAGGGAATGTAATTTTGTCTAGTTCAGAGGCTTTTAAAGATTGTCTTACCCTAAAACAGTAACGGAACAAAACTGAAGGTTTAAGCAAAGTGAAAAAGGTTTGTAAAGGGTGAATCTAAAAAAAATTCTGTGGGTATAAACCAGTTGGCTAAGAGCTGAAAGAAATTATTTAGCTTTTTTCTGTAGGTTAAAACATTAAAATCGTACTGATGTGGGGCCAGAATCTGGGCCCCTGTGTCCAAAATCTGGGCCCCTGTGTCCAAATCACAGGGTTTTCTTAGAAAACTGATCTGCTGTTTGATGGAAAATTGTAAAGGGTTCTATAAAGTTTATGAAAATCTTACCTTATGGTCAAAGTAATTAAAACTGGATATATAAAACTTTATTTAAAAAACTAGCTTTAGCATTAAAGATGCACATGAAATTTGGTTTTCTCTTTTGAAGATGATTTTTATGTAATGTTAAAAGATAATGAAAGGGTTTTGTTTTTTCCTTTGGATAAATGGCAGGGGAAAAAAAGGAGGAGAGAGAGAAGAGACAGATTCAGTTGGCCTCATGCTATCTTCATTGGATCTTCTTTGGAAAGGTAAGTCATCTGTATCACAGTAAAGGTTTTTCTTTTTCTTTAAATTGTTTTGGAGTTATCATTTTGGCCAAATGAATGACTTATGGTGACCTGGGATTCTATTTTGTGATATCCAGTGTTTTAAACCTTTGATATTTGACAGACTTTCCAAAATCAAATTATAAATTATGTCTCTTTCTAACTTAGTATTTTAGATATTAAGTCCTCTAAAGTCCAAAAATGACATTTGGCTTATTTGGTACAAAAATCATACAGGAAGCATTGTCAAATATAAAATGGTGTTCAGCTTTCTTTGGTCTATATTTGTGTAAATGTGTTATTGGTATATGTTCCAAAATTATGTAAAACTGCTATAATTCTAATATGACTTAGGATATGTTATCAGTAATAATTATAATTATTATGTTAAATGACTGTGTGCCACAGAGGTAAATGTCTTTGTCAATTGTGCCTTTAACAGTGGCTGCCCTAAAATGTTTTTGTCATCCACAGACAACTGTTGTCTCACTTTGGTCCTCTTTAAAAGATGATTTTATAATTGGCTAGAAAATTTAACAGGTGCTCTTAAATGCAGGTTTCTGATTAATAACTCTGGGAGACTGTGACATTAGAATAGAAAAAACCTTTCAAATAGAAGAGGGAATGGCGTTTGGTTTTCTTTGGGACTGTATTTGTATAAATATGTTATTGGTATGTGTTCCAAAATTATGGGAAATTTCTATAATGTTATAATTTAGTGTACATTATTAATTATTATAATGGTTATGTAAAATTGTTGTATGCCACAGAAGTAACCAAAATTCCTAGTCAATTGTAGCTTTAATAGTGGGTGTAGGCTTTTGCCATCCACAGACATTTTGTCTTGCTTTGGTCCTTTTCAAAAGGCAGTTTATATGTCAGATATAGGACTCTGAGTGCAGGTCTCAGATAACTTTAAAAATTGTGCTATTGGAATGGAGGAAAAAAAAACAAACTTCTAGGACTCTCATGGAGAGCTAATGTGTTAAACATTGCTAAACCTTTTGTTTTCAGAGTCGAGAGAACTTATTTCTTTAGAGCTATTTGCAGCTTCTAACAAGTGAGTAAAATATACTCCTGTGAACAAAATTTAGAGCATATTTGTTCCTCTCTACCTGATTTCTCCAGAATTTGGAAACTATTTGTGAATATTCTCAATTTATGGCAGTATAGTTAATTGCATAAGTGCAGTAAGAATCTGTTTTCTTTTGTAACAGAACACAATTGGAGAAATTGGTTATTTTACCAAGGCTTTGACTGGAATGGCATGCTTCCTTTAAAGAATCAAAGTTCACTTATAGAGCCAATTAAAGCCCATTGGGGAATCTGGCCTCATACCTTGTCCACACAGAGTGTCTGTGCAAGGTTCCTGACCTGTGGTAAGTAAAGAATGTCACTTTTTAACAGGCCCAGGAACTCCAAGTTATCTTGGGACTTCAAGAGGAAAGGAATTTTCAAATACCAACTCATAGGTATTTGAGGCTGGGCTCAGCTTTTTTTTTTTTTTTTTGAGACAGAGTCTAGTTCTGTCGCCAGGCTGGAGTTCGGTGGCTCAGTCTCGGCTCACTGCAACCTCCGCCTCCCAGGTTCAAACAATTCTCCTGCCTCAGCCTCCTGAGTAGCTGGGATTACAGGCATGCATCACCATGCCCAGCTAATTTTTGTATTTTTAGTAAAGATGGGGTTTCACCTTGTTGGCCAGGACAGGCTTGATCTCCTGACCTTGTGATCCACCCACTTCAGTCTCCCAGAGTGCTGGGATTACAGGCATGAGCCACCGCGCCCAGCCTGGGCTTGGCTTTTAAAAAGTCTTAGCTGAGATCCTTCATGGAACAGAGTTCTATCAGAGCCAATGAAAAAAGCCTAAGTGAAAAATAATTATTCTTGCTGCACTTTATGCAAATAATCAGGCCAAGTACAGTAAGACTAAAGTTTATTTTGTAAACAAATCGGTTCTATCATGGTTTGTTTTGAATAAAAATGGGGACTGGAGAGAGAAAAATTATGCTTCAAAAGAAAAACTATAGTATACAGTTGTTAGCTGGTCTTGAGGTTTTCTTGTGCAGTTTAGACTACACACTAAATTATTTGTGGGTTAGAAGTCCCCAGACTAATGCTTTCAAATCTTTACTTTTAAAATTGGGAATTGTACTCCTCAAACTAGGACTCATTATTTACCTTATAGCAGGCTGTTCACTTAAACACTGTAGTAAAACTATAGATGAGAGTACTAATGTGTTTGCCATGCAACTCTTGGAAACTCAACCAGGCCTGCATGAGTTGCTCAGACAGTTGCAAAGCAATTCCACTCTTCTCACCTTGGGGTTCACTCCCATTCCCATTACCTCCCCTGTCAGCAGGAAGAAGCCAGAGCTATCAACGGCCTTCTCCCATCTTCATAGCCTACCCAAAGGGAAGGATTGAAACCATCTTTGCAAAATTATGATTGAGACAGTGAAAGAGATCTAACTGAACGGATTGCATCTTGCTTCTAACCTCAAAGCTGTCCTTGTTCATTCCTGGGCATAAGCTGAACTAACTTTGGGAGAAACTTAGTTTATAGTTTACACAAAGACGGTAACAACCCTTTCCCAAAGCAGACCTCCTTCTTGCCTGGAGACTAGATTGCCTTTGTAGGACTAACATTAACCACAAGATTTGAAATCAGGTTTAGGAGTCATGCAGCTGGAGGATACAAGATTCTGACTTGCCCTAAACCGCTCCTAAGATCGGTGCTCGAGAGATTTTACAGACCCTGCACTTGATGGATCAGCTGGCACCACCCAGATCAGTAAACTGGCTCATCTGATCTTGTGGCCCCACCCAGGAAGTGACTCAGCACAGGAAGACAGCTTCTACTCCCTATGATTTCACCCCTGACCAATCAGCACTCCTGGCTCACTGGCTTCCGCCAACCCACCAAGTTATCCTTAAAAACTGTGCTCCCCAATTGCTTGGGGAGACTGATTTGAGTAATAATAAAACTCCAGTCTCCTGCAATAAATAAATAAATTAATTAAATAAAAATCATTTATGCTGTGCCTGGCCAGGTCTGGTGGCTCACGCCTGTAATCCCAGCACTTTGGGAGGCTGAGGCGGGTGGATCACTTGAGGTCAGGAGTTGGAGACCAGCCTGGGCAAGATGGTGAAACCCCGTCTCTACTCAAAATACAAAAATTAGCAGGGCCTTGTGGCGCACGCCTGTAATCCCAGCTACTCTGGAGGCTGAAGCAGGAGAATCGCTTGAACGCCGGAGGCGGAGGTTGCAGTGAGCCGAGCCAGATCGCGCCACTGCACTCCAGCCTGGGGGACAGAGTGTGACTCTCTCAAAAACAAACAACAACAAAAATCACTTATGGCGTGCCTGCTCCCTGGAAAGCACTGCCAGATATGTATTTGCTATTGCAGTGTCTATACGCAGTCACATGAAGATTTGGGCTAAAAGACACACTACCTTAAAAGTTTCACATTCTTTCTGGCAAATTGGATTTTTCTTTTTCTTTCCTTCCTCCTTCCTTCCTTCTTTTTTTCTTTTAATTGGCAACTCAGATTTTTCGAAGTGTTTTTGCTATCTCACTGCTGGAAAGCCTGGTTCTGCCTTTCCTAAAATCTCGTGTGCAGGTTCGCACTCCGGCTACTTTCAGGCCTCTAGGGAGCCCAGGTAGCGGCGCGCACGCGCACGCGCACACTTCTCCCTCGCTGGTCTTCAGGCCCGGCCCGCCCTGTCCAGAGGCGCCGGGACCCAGGCGCCTGCAGCCGCCCGCCGGGCCGACGTCCCACGGGAATGCGCGAGGCCTGGACGGGAGTGGCCGAGGCGGTTGGGCGGAGGCGGAGCAGGCGCCATGTCAGCCCGGGAAGTGGCCGTGCTGCTGCTGTGGCTGAGCTGCTATGGCTCCGCCCTTTGGAGGTAGAGAGACGCCAGTCGCAGGCGAGCGACTAGGCGGGGATTACCCCCGGCGGGGCAGGCGGGAGGGTCCTGCTCTCCACCCCATGCGCCTCGGGACCGCTCGCCCTGGCCGACCACTGCCTCGTCTCCTGGCTCCCCAACACCAGCCCCAGTGTCCCACCGCTCCCACCCGAGAGTTTTCCATGAGCGAGAGGGGACGCAGTTAGCACTTTGCTACCCTGCTCCAGCTCCTGCAGTAAGGTCGCAGTACCTTCATGCTGCTGTCCTCAGAACATCTGAGCCCCAATGAAATCTTACTTTTTTGTTTGTTTAGGGCGGGGGTTGTCTGTTTGTTTTAGAGACGGCCTCTTGCTCCGTTGCCCAGGCTGCAATGCAGTGGCGCCATCATAGCTCCCTGAAGCCTGAAACTCCTGGGCCCAAGCGCTCCTCGCACCTCGGCCTCCTAAATAGCTGTGACAACAGGCACGCGCCACCACGCTTGGCTAAATTAAAAAAAAAAATTGGTAGAGACAGGGTCTCACAATATTGCCCAGGCTGGTCTCGAACTCCTGGCCTTAAGTGATCCTCCTGCCGGGGCCTCCCAAAGTGCTGTAATTACAGACTATGAGCTCTGAGCCATGAGCTATCGCGCCCCGGCCCCTGTGAATTCTTACATTCCTCTCACCTTGTGCAGCCTTCTTTTGCCAGAGGAGAGGATCGTTGTGGTCCAAGAGTGAGATATAACAGTGCCCTTTTCATTAAAAAATAGCACATGTCCATCTGCACACCCCACACACCTATGGGCCTCTTAGATCTGTTTCCAACAAGAATACATTAAATATAAGACATAATTAATAAAGCAAGGATGAAAAGGTATTATCGTTGTTATCTGGGACTAAATTAATAAATTAAACGTGACTCTTTGAGCTACTGTTCTCTCCCTAGCCTATCCTTAGCCCCAGTAGGAGTGAGAAGCTGTTGAGGGAGCAGGTGAGGAGAAAAGGCCTGCCAGGAAAGGTCATTTCATCCTTTCACTACCAGATCTTATTAAATTACATAATTTAACTTTGTAAATTAAAGTACAAAATTTGCCACTTGTATTTTTCTCTCTGTATTGAAAGGGATCTTAGATTCATAAGAAGTGTGAGGTGGTTCACACTTCAAAAAAAGCCTTTGATGACAATAGATTTCATTTTTATTTATAGGTATATGTAAAATACATGACTTTTTTTTAATTCGATCTGTATATACAGAAAATGTGTTTCATTATAAAGGTGACTGATTTCCGTTAAACATAAGAATTCAGAGTGCTATTAAGGCTTGTATAATTCTGATAAGGGAATTGCATAATGATATCCTAGCAACTCTTCCTCTACATACAGAAAAAAGGCCTCTGATTTAAAGCTTTAGGGATGGAGCAATTCCAGTTGCAATTAGGTATGCAATGTAGACATGGAATAGATTCTTGAAGCAAATGGAAGGCGAAGGAATTGTAGGGTGGTGATTTATGATAGTCACCAGCTACATGTGCCTTTTGAGTATTTGAAATATAGCCCAAATTGAGATGTGGTGTAAGTGTAATGTACACACCAGATTTCAAAGACTTAGTCTGAAAAAAGAATGTAAGATATCTCAGTAATAATTATTTTATACTGATTACATGTTGAATAAAACTTAAAATTAATTAATTTTAAGTTTAATTTGTTTAGTTTTAATTAAAAGCTAAAAATTATTAAAATTAATTTCACCCATTTCTTCTTGTGCTTTTAAAGTAGCTACTTGAACATTTTTAATTAATAGGAGGTGGCTTGTATTATATTGGACAGTGCTCTGTTAGATGAATCAGATAGACGGGAATTAAGAACCCTCCATCGCAGCAACATGGCAAAACCCTGTCTTTACTAAAAAATACAAAAATTAGCTGGGCGTGGTGGCATGCGCCTGTAGTCCCAGCTATTCGGGAGGCTGAGGCGAGAGGATCACTTGAGCCTGGGAGGTCAAGGCTGCAGTAAGCCAAGATCACTGCACTGTACTCCAGAGCAAGACCCTGTCTCAAAAACAAAAAAAAAAGAGAAATACTGCGTTTTTAAAACTCCAATCTTTGTTATTCTTACTTTAACTCTTTATAAGTGAAGGAGTTAGAGCCAGTGTTCTTCAAGAGTTTTCATCTTACAAAAAAAAAAAAAAAACCAGGTAAAGAGTATTAACTTCTCATTTTATTGTCTTTAGATACTGAGCAAACCCTAACACATCTAGAGATGTGGGTAGAGGTCACTGATAGCCCCAATTTTAGCCCTGAGTTGCTGTCAAGGAAGGGAATGAGGCAGAAAGGTGACACTCCTGGCAGCCCAGCTATGCCCTGACCATGTAGAGAATCCTCATATTTGAAGAATAAATTAGTTTTAATATTTATACTTGGCCTCTTCCTCCACAGGTATTCCACTAACAGCCCAAACTATCGCATTTTTAGTACCAGAAGTACTGTAAGTGTTGAATTTTTAATAAACTATAGTTAAATATTAAATTTTTTGAACTTTAGAGCAGAGAGCAGAGTTAATCATATTGAGTTTTACAGTCATTGTCACTCTTCTGTTTCGTTTCTTTCATCCGGTGTATTACCCTAACATAGGTCCCCTCCTTAATCCATGTCCTTAAATTTGCATGTAGCAAAAATAGTGTTGTTTTGAGTGTTTTCGTGATTCACTGTTCACAATGTGATGTTATTATATAGGTAGGATAACCATTCAGTATATTGCCTAAACCCATGAGAATGGGAGTGCTATTAATAATTATACAACAGGTATAAATTAGAACTGTCTAGACAAATCAGGATGTATGGTCACCCAAACTATAGACCTCATTCTCTATATTACTTTTCTTATTCAACACTTTCTACTTCATTTCTTCTTATCTGCCTAATTACTGGTGTAAATCAATTATATTTTATATACCCCTATTGCTGGACATATAGCTTCCTACCATCACAAACAATACTGGAATGAGTGTCCTCTATAGGTCCTTTTATGTATCTGTGTATCTGTGCAATCATTTTCCTGCTATATGTAGCCAAATAGAGTTGCCTGGCCATGGGAAATACACTTAATTTAACAAAGTTCCGCAAGATTGTTTCCCGAATGGCAGTTACAATTTATATTCTCACTCAATGTACATCTTCACCAAAATTTGGTGTTATTAAATTTCCTATTTTTTTTTTACCAATCTCATTATTATCCAGTGATAGCTATTGCTGTTGTTATTTTCAGTTTCTTTGATGACTAGTGATTTTGAGCATCTCTTCGCATATTATGTAGGCTTCTCCTTCTATTACCTGTTCATACCCTTTGCCTATTTTTCATTTAATTTTCTGCCTTTTTCTTACTCGTTAACACAGTGCTATCTACATTGCGTTGTAAAAATTAATCAAATGTTGGTTTCAAAGATTCAGTTATCTCAAGTTTCTGTTAACTTTGTTCATGGATACTTTACTGAAAAAAAAAAAAGCTGAATTTTGATGAGCCAAATCTCTCCCCTCCTTTGCCTTATGATTTAAACTTTTGGAGGCTCCTTTTTTTTTTTTTTGGAGACAGAGTCTCACTCTGTCACCCAGGCTGGAGTGCAGTGGTGCAATCTTGGCTCACTGTAACCTCTGCCTCCCGGGTTCAAGCGATTCTTCTGCCTCAGCCTCCTGAGTAGCTGGGACTACAGGTGCACACTACCATGCCCGGCTAATTTTTGTACTTGTAGTAGAGATGGGATTTCACCATATTGGCCAGGCTGGTCTTGAACTCCTGACCTCGTGATCCACCAGCCTCGGCCTCCCAAAGTGCTGGGATTACAGGCCTGAGCCACCGCGCCTGTCCAGGGCTCTTATTTAATAAAAATATTTGCTTACCCTGAACTGAAATGTTTTTATAATTTTAGTTTATATTTCTTATATTTTTACCTTTAAAATATAGGTCATAAATCCATCTAGAGTCTGCCTTGTATATAGTACAATAGGCATTCACATTACTTTTTTCACATAATGAACCAGAATCTATTAAACAACTCACTGTTCCCCTATTACCTTTCTCATGTCACCTTTGTTCCGTATGTAGATGAGTTGTTTGTGAACTTTCTTATTTGTCCTGGTGCCAATTCTACACTCTCTTAACTGCTATAGCTTTCTAATGAGTCTTCGGATCTGGTCCTGTGAACATCTAGTTTGTTCTTCCACAAGACTACTTTGGCTATTTGCGTTTTTATATAAATTTTAGAATAAGGCTGTTAGTTTTCACAAGCAAAAATCTGCTGAGATTTTGATTGGGATTGCACTTGGGGAGAACTGACATTGTTATCATAGTAACTGGTATCATTATGATATTGAATCTTCCAATTCATGAAGAATGATGTAGCCCTCCAGAGTTGATCTCATTATCTTCTTCCTAACTTTAGTAGATTTCTTCCAACATCTCCCAATTAAACAGATGCTCCCTTTTGGGCAGAGAGAGATACATTTCATTAAATTAACTAAGTATTCATTGGTTCCTAATTTATTGAATATGGTAAAAAATAGTCGCTATAAGTGATACTTATAGTGAATTGTGAAATGCCTTTTCACAGTCTACAGAAAAAAGTTTTTGAGTTTTCTCAGACTTGTTATCATAGTGAATCATATTAACATATTCACTTTTATTGTATCATCCTTGGATTTTGGGAAAACCCCACACGGTACCAATGTAGTAGTTCAATATGCTCTCAGGGACTATTGTTAATATTTTATATAAGATTCTTTTATCAATATTCATACATGAGTTTGCTCCACAGCAGTTATCTCAGTGGGGATGCCACTGAAATTTTGAGCAGGAAAAATTTTCATTGTATGGAACTATCCTTTGCTTTGCAGAACAGCTTGCTTCCCTGGTTCCCAAACACTAAGTAGCAGTGACAATCCTCAGGGATTGTGTGACCTGAGATACTCTTCCATATTTCCAGATGCCCTCTAAGGCAGGCAGAATCCAGCCAGTACACACTTGGGTAGCATGCTGCCTGGTATTCGCTTGGAACTGTCAGTGTCTGTGCTGTACAACTTGTTAAACACTTGTCATATTATCCCTGTCTTTAAGGGAGCGTGTAGCAGTCAGGGGTCAGAGGACAGCAGTAACCACTCTAGATATTTCAAGCAGAAATTTATTTGCTACAGGAAATTAGGTGCTCACCAAACTGTTGGGAGGGCTAGGAAAGCAAGGGTCTTAGAAACCCCCACTAATTTTTAGGTTTATCAATAGTCAAAAAGTTGCTGTTGCCACCAGAGATCAGGACCTGGAGGAAATAGGTGCCCATGTCACAAGTCTCTCCCAGTACCTAATGAGGGATGGTGCTCAATGGAAAGATGGGACAGAGGCCTTCCCCAAAACCACCTATCTTTGAAGCCTGGACTTTTGGTACCACTGCCTGAGGAAGAAGAATGGCTTCCTCTTTTTTACAAGTTCCAGTCCACATCTGATTTTCAGTCGTTCAGAACCCTTGAGGGTTCCTGGTTTCCAGCTCCTGCAATCTAGGGATAGCCTAGAGTTATGCAGGAATGAATGATCATGGCTGAGAATACAATACACAACAGTCAATTCCTAGCACTGTGTGGTATCACTCGTAAATTAGAATCAGGAGTCTTTAGTTAATTTTTACTAAATAACTCAACAATTTCTGTTGTGTTTTCTATCAGTGTTGTGCTCCCTTTATAAATAAATAAATATTTATAATTTGAACCAGGCCCAGATGGTTTTGTGTGGGAATTCTACCAAATCTTTAAGAAGCACATCATTTCAGTATTGTTTAAATTTTTCTAAAGTATAAAAAAGAAAGGAGGAAAAGACCTAAGGGGATATTTCACAAAAAAGGATGTACAAATGACCAGCAAACTTATGAAAAATTAGTGAAGTGTGAATTAAAATTACAGGGAGATGTAATTACAAACCAATCAGAATGCCTAAAATTAAGAAGACTGAAGATAACAAGGGGTGGTAAGAATGTAAAGCAGTAGGAACTCTAATACACCACTAGAAGGAATGCAGGTTGGTATAACCACTTTGAAAACCTGTTTGCTATTATCCAATAGTGTTGAATATATACGTATCCTGTGACACACTAGTTTGACTCCTAGGTATACATCCAGCACCAGAAGACCTATGTAGGAACGGTTACGACAGCATTATTCCTAAGAACTCCAAACTAGAAACAACCCAGTAGCATGTCAATCAGTAGTATAGAGGGATAAATGCATTTCTGTGTATTCACATAGTAGGATACTATATGGCAAATGAAAATAAGTGCATTGTGTCTACATGTCAACACAAAACAATATGGATGAATCTCACTGTACTCTGTGAAAGTAGCCATACAGAAAAGAACACATTCTGTATAAACTTTATAATATTCCATACCAGGCAAGAGGAATCTATGTAATATATATTTTCTTTTACAATTGTGTTTTCAAATTTATTGCTATTCATTTGTTTATAATCTTTGCTTACCATTTCAATATCTATTTTTAGCTATTTTATGTCTCTAATAGAGTTTATTTGGGCACTTTATCTTCCTTTCCTGGACAGTTTTGCCATGTATTGGACCATTTTATTGTTTTTTTTTTTTCTTTTTTCTTTGAGACAAAATCTCGCTCTGTCACCCAGGCTGGAGTGCAGTGCGCAATCTTGGCTCACTGCAACCTCTGCCTCCCAGGTTCAAGCAATTCTTCTGCCTCAGCCTCCCGAGAAGCTGGGACTACAGGTGTGTGCCACCACGCCCGGCTAATTTTTTGTATTTTTAGTAAAGACGGGGTTTCACCATGTTAGCCAGGATGGTCTCAATCTCCTGACCTCATGATCTGCCCAGCTTGGCCTCCCAAAGTGCTGGGATTACAGGCGTGAACCACCACACCCAGCCTTATTGGTCTTTTTAAGAATCATCTTTTTTATCTCGATTTTCCATTATTATTTTTATGTAGGTGGCAGAAATGGTCCATCTTTAATTCATAAATGACCACCAAAACAGCTATGTCATTTTAGAAATGCAAATTGGACCCTAGAGTTTGATTATCAGCAAGAAAGGTAGATAAAGGGCAAGAGAGTAATATTACAAAACCAATGATATTGCAGCTGATTTGAAAGTGATATTAAGAGAAAGGAAGGGGCCTAGTGTTGTGGCTTATGCCTGTAATCCCAGCACTTTGGGAGGCCAAGGCAGGTGGATCTCTTGAGCCCAGGAGTTTGAGACTAGCCTGGGCAACATGGCCAGACCCCATCTCTACAAATAATAATAAAATATTAGGGCATGGTGGTGCATGCCTATAGTCCCAGCTACTTGGGCGGCTGAGGTGGGAGAATTGCTTGAGCCTGGCAGGGAGAGGCTGCAGTGAGCTATGATCATGCCACTGCACTCCAGCCTGGGTGACACAATGAGACCCTGTTTCAGAGAGAGAGAGAAAGGAAATATTGAATGTACAGAATACCAGAGATTTTCCGTGACTCTTCTTGATGAAAAGCATGTCTAAAAAATCCTTCTCTACTCTGTGTAAATTGAAACAGTGCATCAGTTTTCTGTTTAGATAATACCAAGTCACTTAAACATGAAGTTGGTAAGCATAGTGGGAACTTTCTGCAGGGACTTGACTACATTTAAGTTAATCATTGGGGAGGTTTATATGTAAGCTTGGTAATTTCCACAGAATTTGTTCTCTGTTTTGAACTTACATCTTTGAAACTTTTATTAGTAAAACATTTAAATATACATAAAATATATAAATTAGTATAATTTAGACATACATAAAAGTATGGAGTACATATAAGGAATACATATAAGTACATAAAAGTATGGAGTACATATAAGGAGATTAAGTCCTTATATATCCATTACTCAGCTCCAGTATTACAGCTCATGGCCATTCTTGTTTCATTGACTTTATCACCCACTTTCTTCCCTTCTGAATTATTTTGAAACTATCCCATACATATCCTTTCATCCATACATATTTCAGTGTGTACCTTTAAATGATAAGACTCTTTTTAAAAATGACCAGAGCCAGGGCAATAATGCAAGAAAATGAACTAAAAGGCATCCACTTTGGAAAGGGGAAGATAAACTATTTCTATTTGCAGACGACATGATCCTTTATATAGGAAGCCCAAGGAATCTAACAAAAAACTATTAGAACTAATAAATTATCTTAACAATTTCTTATGGCAATTCATAGGAAATTGTAAATGGAAATTCAAGAGTACCAGAATAGACAAAACAGTCTTGAAACAGAAAAAGTGGAAGGACTCACAGTTCTTGACGTTTATACAATTGGTCATTTGAATACTAAGCTTACTACAAAGCTGCAGTAATTGAGACACTTTGGTACTGACATAGGATAGGAATATACATCAATGAGATAGAATTGAGAGTTCAGAAATAAAACCTCATATTTACAGTCAGTTGATTTTTGATAATGATACCAAGAGAATTGAATGGAAAAAGAACGGTACTGAAACAACTAGATACCTACATGAAAAAAATGAATGTGGACCCCACCTCAGACCACACCCAAAATTATAACTCTGAATGGATCAAAGACCTAAATGTAAGAGCTAAAACTGTAAAACATATAGAAGAAAACATAAGGGAAAATCCGTGACCTTGGATTAGGTGATGGTTGCTCACAAGCACAAGCAACAAAAGAAAAAATAGATAAATTGGACATCATCAAAATTAAAGTCTTTTGTGCTTCTAAGGACATCATCAAGAAAGTGAAGACAATTCACAGGATGGGAGAGAAATTTTGTGATTCATGTATCTTATTATGGACTTGTTTTTAGATATATAAAGAACTACTATTGATATAATTTGGTAATAAAAATACAACCCAGTTTTTTAAATGGGCAAAGGATCTGAATTGTCATTTCTCCAAAGAAGATATCCAAATGGCCAATAAGCACATCCCCATCAGGGAAATGGAAATCAAAACCATAATAAGATACTACTTCGCACCCGCTCAGATGTCTATAATCAAAAAGACAGATAATAACAAGTGTTCGTGGGGATGTAGAGAAATGGGAACTCTTATATTGCTGTCAAATGTCAAATGGTGCAGGCACTTTAGAAGACAGCCTTGTAGCTCTTCAAACAGTTAAACATAGTGTTACCAATATGTTCTGAAGATTGCACTTCCAGTTTTACATCCAAGAGAAATGAAAATATAATGTCCACACAAAAACTAGTACATGAATGTTCACAGAAGCATTATTCATAATAGCCCCCAAGTGCAAACAATGCAAATGTTCATCAACTAAGGAAAGGATAAATAAAATGTAGTATGTTTATATAATGGAACATTACTTGTCAATAAAAATGAATGAAGTACTTTTATGTGCTACAATATAGAAAAGCCTTGAAAACATTATGCTAAGTGCAAGAAACCTTTCACAAAGGACCACATGTTGTATGATTTCATTCACATGAAATGTCCAGAATAGGCAAATGTATAGAGACAGAAAGTAAGTTAGTGCCTGCCTAGGGCTGGGAGATAGGGCTGGGGTGGTAACCTCCGAGGAGTGTGGCAGTTTTTTTGTGGAGTGTTGAATATGTTCTAAAATCGATTACAGTAATAGTTGCAGAAGTATATGAAGATACTAAAAACCATTGTACACTTTAAATGAATGAATTGTATGACGTGAATTATATCTCAAAGTTGTTTAAAAAACCATAACCGTAATACTAATTAGCACACCTAAAAATTAATAATCATTCCTTAATGTCATCAAATATCTAGTCAGTATTCAAATGACCAGTTGTCATATAAATGTCATTTTCTGTTTGTTTATGTAAATCAAGATCCAGATAAGGTTTATACATTATGATTATATATTTCTTTAGTTCCTTTTGTAAAAGGCAAATTAATTGAGGTAATTACATACAATGAAATTTACTCCTTTTAAGCATATAGTTTGATGACCTTTGGCAATGCATACAGTTGCGTTATCACCGTAATAATGAAGATATACAACATTTACCTCACCCCAAAAAGTTTCATCATGCCCTTTGCAGTCATGCTTTACCTTCCCCATCTCAGCCATTGGCAGCCACGAATCTATTTCCTGATCCTATAGTTTTGCATTTTCTAGATAGTCATAGAAACAAAACCATACTATATATAGTCTTTTGGGGTCAGTTTTCTTTCACTTGGCTTAGTGCTTTCAGATTCATCCATAATGTTGCATATATGAGAACTTCATTCCTTTTTATTGCTGAGTATTCATTTGCATTCTTATGCCACCATTTGTCCATTCTCTTGTTGATGGCCATTTGGGTTATTTCCAACTTAGAGCTATTTCAGATGAAACTGCTGTGGACATTCATGTACATATGTGGGGACATATATTTTTATTTTGGTTAAATACCTAGGAATGGGATTACTGTGTTATAAGGCAATGATATGTTTATAGCAAATAAGAAACTACACAACAGTTTTCTTCTTTTTCTTTTCTTTTCTGAGACAGACTCTAACTCTGTTGCCTAGCGTGGTGTGTGTGGCACGATCATGGCTCACTGCAACCTCAAACTCCTGGACTCAAGTGATCCTTCCGCCTCAGCCTCCTGAGTAGCTGGGACTGCAGGCATGCACCACCACACCCAGCTAATTTTATTTTATTTTTATTAGAGACAAGGTCTTACTATGTTGCCCTGGCTGGTCTCAAACTCCTGAGCTCAAGCAGTCCTCCCATCTCAGCCTCTGAAAGTGCTAGGATTACAGGCATGAGCCACTGCACCTGGCCCACGACTGTTGTTTGAAGTAGGTGTACCATTTGCATTCCCATGAGCAGCAGAGGAGAGTTCTCATTGTTCTGCATATTGAATACATTTTGGCTTGAATTCTACCTTATCTAATATCAGAGTCACAATTCCTGCTTTTATATTGATTTTTTTTTGACAGGACCATTTTCCTGGTATACCTTTGCCCATGGCTTTTAAAAAATTTTTTAAGAGTTAACAGACTTTATTTTTAGAGCAGTTTTAGGTTCATAGAAAAATGGGCAAACAGTATAGAGAGATCCCATAAAACCTCCCCAGTTTGCCCTATTACTGACATCTTGCATTAGTGTGCTACATTTCTTACAATTGATGAGCCAATATTGATACATCATTATTAACTATAATCTGTAATTTACATTAGTGTTCACTCTTTGTGTTGTACATTATGTGAGCATGGACAAATGTTTAATGACATGTTTCTACCATTATAGTATCACACCGAATAGTTTCACTGCCCTAAAAATTCTCTCTGCTCTGCCTTTTCAATCCTCCCCCTCCCCAGCCCCTTACAACACTGATCTTTTAACTGTCTCCATAGTTTTGCCTTTTCCAGAATGTCATTTAGTGGGAATCAAACAGTATGTAGCCTTTTCAGATTGGCTTCTTTCACTTAACAATACACATTTAAGTTTCCTCCATGCCTTTTCATGGCTTGATAGCTCGTTTCATTTTAGCACTGAGTAATACTCTATTGTCTGGATGTACTATAGTTTATCCATTCACCTAGTGAAAGATATCCCAGTTGCTTCCAGTTTGGGCAATTACAGATAAAGCTGCTGCAAACATTCATGGACAGGTTTTCGTGTGGACCCCATTTGGGTGAATACCAAAAGTGCAATTGCTAGATATATGGTAGGAGTATGTTTAGTTTTGTAAGAAATTGCCAAACTGTCCTCCAAGATGGCTGTACCGTTCTACATTGTCACCAGCAATGAATGACAGTGCTGTTGCTCCACATCTTCACCAGCATTTGGCGTTGTTAGTGTTTTGGATTTTTGCAATTCCAATAGGTGTGTTGTGGTATCTCGTTGCTTTAATTTGCAGTTCCCTAATGACATACGATGTGGAGAGTCTTTTCATATCTTTGTCACCTGTATATTATCTTTGGTGAGGTGCCTGTTCAGATCTTTTGCCCATTTTTAAAGATGGGTTTTCGTTTCCTTGTTGTTGAGTTTTAAGAGTTTTTTTGTGTATTCTGGATACCATCTTTTATCAGATATGAGTAACTTTGCAAATATTTTCTCCCAGTCTGTTGCTTGTCTTTTCATTCTCTTAACAGTGTCTTTTACAGAGCAGAAGTTTTTAATTTTAATGAAGTCCAATTTATCAACCTTTTTTTTTGATTTGTGCTTTTTGTGATGTATCTAAGAAGTTGTTGGCAAACCCAAAGTCACCGAGGTCTTCTCTCATTACTTTAGTCTTTCTGGGTCACTTTTTTCTTCTGGTATTTCTTTCGAACAGCATGTATTGGGTCTTGCTGTGTGAGTTAAGCCCATTCACATTTAATTATATAACATATCTTTGGTCTCAATTCTCATATTAGTTTATCTTAGGTGTGTTGTATTTACTGTTTCTTTCTCTGTTGGATTCTTTTCTTTAAAAAAATTATCTTTCTATATTTAGAAACGTTTGTATTTTTGTTTTAGTGGCTACCTTTGTGCTTATACCTTTCGAACATCTTTGGTGCCCTGCTCTTTTATTTACTCTTTTACTGCCTGGTTTCTTTCTTTTTTTTGCTTTTTTTTTGTTTTTGAGATGGAGTCCCGCCCTGTCACCCAGACTGGATTGCAATGGCGTGATCTCGACTCACTGCAACCTCCGACTCCCAGGTTCAAGCAATTCTCTTGCCTGAGCCTCCTGAGTAGCTGGGATTACAGGCGCCCACCACCAAGCCTGGCTAATTTTTTTGTATTTTTAGTAGAGACGGGGTTTTTACCATGTTGGCCAGGGTGGTCTCGAACTTGTGATCTCATGATCTGCCCACCTCAGCTTCCAAAGTACTGGGATTATAGGCGTGAGCCACCGCACTCAGTTTACTGCTTAACAACCAGGCAATGATCTTATTCTACTTTCCTTTTTCATTCTCTCCCATATTTTTTAGTCAATGATTTTATTCTATTTTCAATGATCTTCTTCTATGTTCATTCCAATTTTTCAATTTCATGTATTATTCTTTAATTATAGAATATTACTATATTCTATAATTGTTCTTTGATTATATTTGATCAAATATTTGATTATATTGTTTTTATTATCAAATATTTGATTATATTGTTCTTTGATTATATTTACTGTTATTGCTCTGTTCCAAACATTTTGGTTTTCCTCTTCAGGATCTCTGGATATATGTATATTGGATTTTCTGTGCCTATCTTTCATATTTGTTGCTTAGTCTTAAATCACTTAATCATTTTTTAATCCCTTCTTTTTTTTCTTCTTCTTTTTTTTTTTTTTTTTGGAGACAGGGTTTTGGTCTTGCTCTGTCATCCAGGCTAGAGTGAAGTGATGCAGTCACAGTTCACTGCAGCCTTTAACTCCTGGACTCAAGCGATCCTCCCACCTCAGCCTCCCAAGTAGCTGGGACTACAGGTGTGTGCCACCACACCCAGCTAATTTTTTAATTTTTTATAGAGAGGGGTCTCCCTATGTTGCTCAGGCTGGTCTTGAACTCCTGGGCTTAAGTGAGTTTTATTATTGATTATTGTCCAGTGCTTTTGGGGACTATCCTAATTGTTCTTTCTGTGTTTATTAGGAAATTTAAATAAATTTTTAAAACTACATCCCCAAAGCCCCTTCCCAATGCCCTTTCATTTGTTTTATAAATTTCTATTTTTTCTCTTTCTTATATCCTTCCTTTTATTTGGGGAGATTTTCTCTGTTGTCCTTTTATTATCATCTTACACTGAAAACAGAGTTTATTCACTTTCAAATTATCTTATCTAGAGACTTTTTTTTTTTTTCTGTCTCACTCTGTTGCCCAGGCTGGAGTGCAGTGGTATGATCTCGGCTCACTGCAACCTCCTTCTCCTGGGTTCAAGGGATTCTCCTGCCTCAGCCTCCTGAGTAGCTGAGATTACAGGTATGTGCCACCATGCCTGGGCAATTTTTGTATTTTTAGTAGAGACAGGGTTTCACTATGTTGGCCAGACTGGTCTCGAACTCCTGGCCTCAAGTGAGCTACCTGCCTTGGCCTCCCAAAGTGCTGGGATTACAGGTGTGAGCCACTGCACCTGGCCACAATTTTTTTTTTTTTTTTTTGAGACGGAGTCTCACTCCGTCGCCAGGCTAGAGTGCAGTGGCGCGATCTCAGCTCACTGCAATCTCTGACTCCCTGGCTGAAGCGATTCTCCTGCCTCAGCCTCCTGAGTAGCTGGGATTACAGGTGCGCACCACCACGCCTAGCTTATTTTTGTATTTTTAGTAGAGATGGGGTTTCACCATGTTGGCCAGGATGGTCTCGATCTCCTGACCTCGTGATCTGCCTGCCTCAGCCTCCCAAAGTGCTGGAATTACAGGCGTGAGCCACCACACCCGGCCATACCACAAATTTTTATAATATTAAATGCTTTTACTGTTTATTCATAAACATTTTATACTTTATGACTTTTGCTTATGAATCATTTAGAAGTACAGTTTTTTGTTTGTTTGTTTTTTTAAAGACTCCAAATATCTTAGGATTTTTTTCTGGCTAACTTTATGAGAAATTCTAATTTTATTTCACTAATATCAAAGGGCATTGTATATGTGATAGTAACTCTTCAAGATTGGTTACAACTTTCCTTGTAAATGTGGTCAGTTTTGGTAATTGTTCTATGTGAGCTTGCAAATGATGTATATATTTTATATTGCTTAATTTTAGGGGCCGGGTACAGTGGCTTATGCCTGTAATCCCAGCACTTTGGGACGCTGAGGTAGGAGGACTGCTTGAGGCCATGAGTTTGAGACAAGCCTGGTCAACACAGTGAGATCCTGTCTCTATTAAAGAAAAGTAAAAAGAAAAAACTTTAGGAATGTATATAGTTTTAACATATATATCATAAACTTACTAATTATATTTTTTAAGTCTTTGACTACCTTTCCCTCCCCTCCCCAAGTTTATTTAGTTTGAGAAAAATGTATTATAAAATCTACCACTATATTTATGGCTTTTGAAATTTCTTGTAGCAGTTCTATCAAATTTTGCTTATTATATTTTAAAGTTATGTTGTATCTTCTCATGAATTTTTCTCTTTTTTCTTCTTATACACTATCCTATAATATCAAATCTATGAAACGGTTTACCACCAGTTATAATCTCCATTTTCCGAGTTAAAACACCAAAGCAATCTTCATATATTATGTATGTGTATATAATTTTGTGTCACAAATATTAGAAGGTAAAATTGAGTTACAACTCTGGCTGAAGAAGAGGATCAGTGTTAAAACTAAGACTGACAATGTTAGAAAGTGAATTGGTATACTTCAGGAGGGGAAAGAATTTCTAAATGAAAGAATAGAGAGGCAGGGAAAAAAGTAGCTTTAGAAATAAGAAAAAGATGAAAGTTATGTTAATAGTCAGTAACGTGTAAATAATAGGATCTCAGAATTAAAAGTGACTTGTTTTTAAGCGAAGGATCATTTCTCATTCGTCTTTGTTTTTTAATCCTCAGAACCTACCAGAGTGTCAGTCCCTTCTTAGATACTTAATAGATTATTTCTTTTCTTTTCTTTTTTTTGAGATGGAGTTTCGCTCTTGTCTCCCAGGCTGGAGTACAATGACGTGATGTCGGCTCACTGCAACCTCTGCCTCCCAGGTTCAAGCGATTCTCCTGCTTCAGCCTCCTGAGTAGCAGGGATTACAGGCGCGTGCCACCACGCCCAGCTAATTTTTGTATTTTTAGTAGAGACAGGGTTTCACCATGTTGGCCAGACTGGTCTCAAACTCCTGACCTCAGGTGATCCACCTGCGTCGGCCTCCCAAAGTGCTAGGATTACAGGCATGAGCCACTGCACCCGGCCAATGGATTATTGCTGAAGTAAATAAAATTAAAGGTTTACAGTTTTTTGGAGTGACTGCTTAAGTGTCCCAGATGGGTTAAGTTACCTTTTCTTTGTCACATTACTTTGTACAATTTAAAGGGAATTGAATTTTAGTTATTCTTTCTTTAAATAATTAGGACCCAGAAAATTGAATCCTACAACGGAACCCTGAGGTGAAAAGTTTGAATGATATTTTTTGTTCGAACTCTTGTTTTCTTTTTTAGATTAAGTTAGAGTATGAAGGAACATTATTTACTGAGTGGAGTGTGCCAGAAACTTGTTTTGTGCTAAATAAAAGGTAAGATTTATGCCATGAATATCAATGTATGTGTATATTTTTTAATTCATTCATATAATGTGAACATTGAGATTCAAGGCTGTGATTTAATATAAATTTTCTTTCATTAAGTAGATGTGAAAAGCAAGACAAAATCAGGTCGAATATAGTATAGAAGTAAAATATTGCAAATATTTAAAAATATCTCTTATCAGCATACAATTGAAATTTTTAGGCTTAAAAAATAGTAAGGGAATTTTATTAATATCATATGCACCTATAATTATTCTTTCTCATCTTTTTAAACACTAGCTCACCCACGACAGAATTGCGTTGTTCCTCACCTGGTGTTCACGCTATAAAACCAATTGTTACTGGCCCAGTAAGTTGTTTTAATGATATGTTATTAAATCTTGAATAATCATCCTGTTATCCTGTTACATTTTATTTTGCCTTTCTTTTGAGCTTTTCAATCTAATTTAACCTGTTTTAAATAGTATTAATTGTTAACTATAAACAAGCCCTATTTTAAAGTTATTGTATGTCAATTTTTAGATATATCTCATGTTAAATTCTAAATTATAAAATTATATACAATTTTTATCTTAGTCTTTTTATTACTAAGTATGTTAAAGTTCATAGCCACCACCTTAATGATAATAGGACTCTCAGATTAGTGGGTCTCCTGTCATACACCCCTGTGACAATGCTGAGATTAAGAGTAATTTCTAGCAGATTTATTTTACTCCACTGCATTTTCTTCAACTGAAGAAAACATGAGAATGCAAATGAATTAGAATGAGGTTGAACGTCTCTAGTTTACCAAAAACACCCAAAGGCAAAGTAAAGCATTTTAATACACTGGCATTTTAGTAATTAGTAACAAAATACTGGCTACATACTGCACAGCTGATGTTCCCACACAAGTGTGCCTGAAGCTGCAGTTCTACAGATACCATGTCACCAATCCTGCCTTTACTTTGAGGCTTGTGACTTCTCTTTAATTAAAAAGCTTTATTGTCAAGGCACAAGTAGACAGAGCGATGTGGGAGAAGCCAGATGAATATTTATTCATTTTTCAATCCTTATGATGTGAAACATATTTGAATTTGTCTCTTTGAGTCTATGAGTATTTGCCAATTTCAAGAACACAATTCATGCCGGGCGCGGTGGCTCACGCCTGTGATCCCAGCACTTTGGGAGGTGGGCAGATCACCTGAGGTCAGAAGTTCAAGACCAACCTGGCCAACATAGTGAAACCCCGTCTCTGCTAAAAATACAAAAAGTAGCCGGGTGTGGTGGCAGGCACCTGTAATCCCAGCTACTCAGGAGGCTGAGGCAGGAGAATCGCTCGAACCCGGGAGGTGGAAGTTGCAGTGAGCCAAGATTGCACCATTGTACTCCAGCCTGGGGGACAAGAGCCAAACTTCGTCTCAAAAAAAAAAAAAAAAAAAAAAAAAGATTTATGAGGAAGTAAGGGACTCCCTTTCCTTTTGTTTTTTGTTTTTTTTCCCCTTGAGATGGAGTTTCACTCTTATTGCCCAGGCTGGAGTGCAATGGTGCAATCTAGGCTCACCGCATCCTCCGCCTCCTGGGTTCAAGCGATTCTTCTGCCTCAGCCTCCGAAGTAGCTGGGATTACAGGCATGTGCCACCACACCCAGCTAATGTTGTATTTTGAGCAGAGATGGGGTTTCACCATGTTGGTCAGGCTGGTCTCGAACTTCTCACCACAGGTGATCCACCCACCTCGGCCTCCCAAAGTGCTGGGATTACAGGTGTGAGCCACTGCGCCAGGCCACATCTGACTTTTGAAAAGCACTCAGTTGTAACAACCGAAAGCATCTTTGGGCATTGCCAAAAGTCCCTGGGGAGCAAAATTACCCCAGTGAATGAGAACATTTTTTGAATTGTATTTCAGTGAGGAAGACAAATGTAATAAAAATGATAAAGATGGCAATATATAAATATTTAAATATATATTTAAATTCTATTCTGAACTTTATTCTGCTTCCTCTGATCGTGGATAAGTAACTTACTTCCTCTGTGACTTCTGTGGCTATATCCATATTTGCATTTGATTTAATGTTAATATATCACAGTTTCTTTTGCATTTTCTTTTAGGATGAAGAAGAACGCTATTTATTTGTGGAAAGTTCTCATACTTGCTTTCTGTGGTACTATAGAGTTAGGTAAGTAATGCAGTACTGAATAGGTAATTATGCTTTTAAAGAGTATTTAGCTTCAACTTTTAATTAGCCACAAATAGATTATCTATATTACGGTTTCCATACAACTTTCATTCACCAACCAAGCTATTCTCAAATATACTGCCGAAGAAATACTGAAGAACAAACAGTAAAAATAAGAGCAACCACTATTTGAGCACATGCTGTGTCTACATGTTTGTGCTTTAATATAAATTCTTTCTTAATTTTTATAATAACCACACAAATGTAAGTCTTTATAGTTGTGGAAACATAAGCATGGATGGGTTAAACAATTTGGAAAAAGTACAAAGCTACTAAAAGATAGCATTGAGATTTGACCCTGGTTTTTCAATCCAGAGGGCTCTTCTATTATATGCATTTCAAAAATACCTTCTTTGTATTGGATAGCTTTTCAAACTCATGACAAAATGAAGGTAGCTGAATATAAGGAGGGAAAAAGTGGTACATAACTACATAATTAACTGCATAAAAATCATTCAATAAGTTAAAAAAGTATCAGTGATTCGGAATATGCTTTAGCATCATAGTCTCGGCAACATCCCAGGCACCGTGTAGGACATAAGGAACTGTAGTATGTGGATCCTGACCCCAAGATGCCTGGAAAATACTTATTTCTTTGTATCCACTTCACGTTTATTCCCTTGGGGAAACTATTCCTCCGTATTCTGTGATAATATTGTTAATTTTGTGTGACGTATATGGTCTAACTACAAACCCACATTTCCTTGGTTACAGTTATTAGTTGAGGATTGGCACATACACGATCCAGGCAGAACCAATCAGAATACTCATGTCTTCAGTAAAGCATGGTTGTTGCTGATAGTTTTATTGTCCTGGTCCACGTAGTCCCTTAAAGTCAGATGGTTCTGCAGTTTATGTGGAATTTTTGGATTGGACATCCTGAGCTAGATTGTAAGTCCTAATAATACCGAGGTTTCAGCAAGCCCCACCAGGAGTACACATTAACCCAGTCCTCTCTCACTCACTGCCACTTTCCCGGAGTCTTATTGAGAAGCAGGGAGGATTGAGTCTCTGCTACTCATGAAACCGGCAGGCTTCTGTCCTTGTTGGCACTTTCAGAAATCCCAGTCCCCAGCTTTTCCTCTATGGGTTCTGAACCAGTTGAGAAATGGACAAGGGCAAATTTGGGGATAACAAGTCCTGGTAGAGCCCTGGCGCAGTGGCTCATGCCTGTAGTCCCAGCTACGCAGGAGGCTGAGTTAGGAGAATCACTTGACCCCAGAAATTTGAAGTTACTGTGTCAAGGTTACGGTGAGCTATAATTACACCACTGTACTCTGGCATGGTGACAGAATGAGACTCTGTCTCATAAAATAAAATAATAGGCCAGGCACAGTGGCTCACACCTGTAATCCCAGCATTTTGGGAGGCCAGGGCAGGTGGACCTGAAGTCAGGAGTTCAAGACCAGCCTGGCCAACATGGTGAAATCCCATCTCTATTAAAAATACAAAAAGAATTAGCCAGATGTGGTGGCGGGCGCCTGTAATCCCAGCTACTCGGGAGGCTGAGGGAGGAGAATCACTTGAACCTGGGAGGCGGAGGTTGCAGTGAGCTGAGATTGCACCACTGCATTTCAGCCTTGGCAGCAAGAGCAAAACTCCATCTCAAAATAAATAAATAAACAAATAAAAATAAAATATTCCTGGTAGAGCTGAATTGTAAAAAAGGACCTGCCCCTTTGGCCAAATGGGCTACTTTCTCTTCTCCCAAGTAGAGCTCTTGGGAACCATCAGAGAAGATAATCTGTTGCCATAAGACTGTATGTTTGTGTCCCACCCCATTTACCCCCAAATTTTTATGCTGAAACCTAATCCCCGATGTGATGGTATCTGAAGGTCACGCCTTTGGGAAGTGGTTAGGTCATGAGGGTACAGTCCTTATGAATGAGATTAGTGCTCGTACAAAAGAGAGCCCAAAGAGTTCCTTTTTCCCTTCCGCCATGCGAGGACCCAGTGAGAAGATAGCACCTTGATCTTTGGACTTTGCAGCCTCCAGAACTATGAGAAATAAAGGTTTGTTGTTAAAGCCACCCAGTCTATGGTATTTTTGTTATAGCAGCCCAAACTAGGACATCTGCCAAGAAGCACTGAATGGGTTACCAATTTCATTTACACACATTAAGACCTAAGAGCTAGGGCTGAAAGAAGTGGGCCTCCAGGCTACCCTGATCTAGACATGTTTTCTCCATGTAAATAAGAACAGAAGGAAAAGCACCTATCCAGGGGGCAGGTTAGTCCAAAAGAGAGAACTCCGTAGGGGCTAAGAGTTTTTCTGTAATATATATTGTAAGAATTTTCAGTCTGTCACCTGTAAAAATATCAATTAAAGAATAATAATGAGGCCTAGCATTGTGGCTCATGCTTGTAATCTCAATGTTTTGGGAGGCCAAGGTGAGAGGATTGCTTGAGCCCAGGGGTTCAAGACCAGTCTGGGAAACATAGCAAGACTTGTCTCTACAAAAAATATAAAAAATTTGCCAGGCATAGTGACTTGCATCTGTAGTCCCAACGACTTAGGAGGCTGAGGTGGGAGGATCACTTGAGCCCAGGAGTTCAAGACCATCCTGGGAAACATAGCAAGACTTGTCTCTACAAAAAACGTTAAAAAGTTGTCAGGCATGATGACTTGCATCTGTAGTTCCAACTACTTGTGAGGCTGAGGTAGGAGGTTCGCTTGAGCCCAGGAGTTTAAAGCTACCGTGAGCTATGATTGCGCCACTGCACTCCAGCCTCCATGACAGAGTGAGACCCCATCTCTAGAAAAAATAAAAATAAAAACAAAATAATAATAATTAATGGCTAGAAAGAGTACATAAAGAATAAAAAGGATAGTAATGAAATCAGTACCCACATATGCATTACCCAAATCAAGAAATAGAACATCACACCTCTTTATGCGCTACCAATCACATTCTATTCACCCTGCAAGAGTTAGACACTATCCTGGATATTGTTTTTTGTCTTTTTGTTATTTTATCCTAAATATTATATAATGAATGATTCCTTGCTTTTTTCTTTTAGTTTAGCGACTATATTTGATTATAATAAATTGTTTAGTTTTGTCAGTTCTTGAACATTGTTTAAATTGAATCATATGATAAGTATTCTTCCATGAGTTGCTTCTCTAAAAATTATGTTTTTGAGACTTACACATGTTTAAATAAGAATCTTTAGTTCCTTCATTGTGACTGCTCTATGGTATTTCATTGTATGACTCTGTTCATTCTGCTGATGCATTTATTTGCAACTACAAATGATGCTGTGAATGATCCTGAATATACCTCATAGTATCTTGCTACTTAAAATGTAATCTGAGGATCAGCAGCACTGACATCACCTGGAAATTTATTAGAAGTGAAGAACGTCAGGCCTCATTCCAGACCTATGGGATAATAATATGCACTTTAAGAAGATTCTATAGTAATTTACATGTGCATTATAGTTGGAGAAGTAGTACTGATTTAATGCATATAAATGAAGGTTTCTCTAAGGTAGAGACCTAAAAGTACAATTGCCTAAAAGTAGGATGTGCATTTGTTCAACTTTACTGGGTGATGCCTAAGTAACTTTTGAAAGATTGTCCAATTTTATATCCACACTAGTAGTACGTGAAAGTTTCCATTTTGCTATATCCTCACCAACACTTAAAATTGTCTGACTTTTTAATTTTTCCAGTCTACTAGGTACGAAATTATGTCATTGTATTTTTCTTTACATTTTACTGATTACTGATGCGTTGAGTGTTTTTTATCTGTTCAGCAGGAATTTTTCTTCTCTTTCCTATTCAATAAGTATTTTGATCCACTTTTGAGTTATTTTTATTTTCATAATAATTTACAGTATTTCATTATATGTCTTAATTACTACTCCATTATCACTTATATATGTATTGAAAGTATTCTGTCCCAGTTTATGTAGATTTTTACTTTCCATGACTCCTATTGATCAGAGAGGTCTTTAGTATTGTGGATAAATTTATTAATCCTTTCCTTTGTGGGTTTATGCCTTTTAAAATCTATTTAAGAAATCTTTTCCTACTTTCAAGATCATAAGGATTTCTCCTATATTGTTTTCTAAAAGTTTTATATGTTTTTTTCTTCTAAAATTAGGTCTTTAATCCACCTGGAATCAGTTTTTGTACAAGCTTAGAATAGGAATTCACTTTATTTTTTCTACATGAATAATTAATTTTCTCATACTTATTTAATGCATAATCTATTTATCCAGAATATCTTCTCTTTCACATATCAATTTTCCATATATGCATGGGTGTTTCTCTGGGCTGGCTGTTCTGTTCAGCTGATCTATTTGTCCATACTTGAACAAAACTACATTATCCTTATCACTATAACTGTATTTTTTAAATCTTAACAAGTGATAGTAGAAGTACCCACCCCACTCCAACTCTTCCCAACTTGATTTATACATTCAATGCAATCCCAATCAAAATCCCAGCAAGTTATTTTATAAATATCAATAAACACATCCTAGACCGTATATGGAGAAGCAAAAGACTCCGAATAGCCAACACAATATTGAAGAAGAGAAACACTGATAACACCCACTTCTGGTGAGGACATGAACCAGTAACAACTGTCTTTCATTACTGGTGGGAATGCAAAGTGATACAACCATGTAGGCTTCAGATGAGCGGTCTTATGCATCTTCTGTTAAATTTATTTTAAAGTATTTTATGTTTTTGGTGCAATTGTAATTGGTGTTGCAAACTTTAGAATTAGTAGGAATTTTACCTCCAAATATTCCCTTCCCGGTTTATGGCTTACTCCTTACCATCATTTTGGTGCTTTCTAGTTGTTTGTTTATCCTTCATATTGGACATTTTTCAGTCAATATTTATTTGGATTTATCCACAGACCTATCATTTCTTTGCTCAACAATGCTTATATTCTCAGACATGTTTTCTCATATTACCTTCTCTTCCTGAAGTATATCCTTTAACGGTTCCTTTAGGGAAGATTTCTTAGTGATTAAATTTCTCAGTATTCATGCCTCTGAAAATATCTTTATTTTATCCTCACTCTGGAAAAGTCATTTCTCTGGGAATATGATTATAGGTTGCTTGCTGTTTTCTCTCAGTGCTTTAAAATTATTTTTTCTTGTGTCTAGCTTCGACTTCAGTTGGTAAGTCGGCTGTCTTTCAAATGGTTTTTCCATTTTAGGTAATCTATATTTTCTCTGTGGTCGTTTTAAGATCTTGCCTTATCTTTGGTGTTTTACTATTGTATATTTCTTTTGAGATGTATTGCAGTTCCTGAATCTGAATATTGGTGTCTTTCATCAATTCTGGAAAATTCACATTGTCTTTTTTCTTTTTCTTTTTTTTTCTTTTTTTTTGAGACAGAGTCTCACTCTGTTGCCCAGGCTGGAGAAAGGTGGCATGATCTCAGCTCACTGCAACTTCTGCCTCATGGGTTCAAGTGATTCTCCTGCCTCAGCCTCCCTAGCAGCTGGAATTACAGGCACCCACCACCACACCTGGCCAATTTTTGTATTTTTAGTAGAGATGGGGTTTCATCATGTTGGCCAAGCTAGTCTCGAACTCCTGACCTTGGTGATCCACCCACCTAAGCCTCACAAAGTGCTGGGATTACAGGCATGAGTGGCTGTGCCTGGCCTATCTTTTTAAATATTCGTTCTCCCTTATTCTTTTTTTTTCTTTCTAGATTTTCTTAAGAGAAATGTATATCACCTTTTAATTCTGTCCTTCCTGACTCTTAAAATCTTGTTAACTTTTTCCATCTTTCTGTCTCGTTGTGATTCATTCTTGGTTATTTTTTAAGTGTTTCATTCAGTTCACTAATTATCTCATTATCCATGTCTAAATTTTGTTTTTTTTGTTTTTTTTTTTTTGAGATAGGATCTTGTCCTGTCACCCAGGCTGGAGTGCAGTAGTGCAATCGTAGCTCACGTAACCTCAAACTCTTGGTGTCAGGCACTCCTCCCACCTCTACCTCCTGAATACCTGGGACTACAGGCACACACCACTGTGCTCCATCTTTTTTTTTTTTCTTGTACAGACAGGGTTTCACTTTGTTGCCCAAGGTAGTCTCAAGCTGTTGGCCTCAAGCAATCCTCCTGCCTTGGCCTCCAAAAGCACTGGGAGCCACCACACCAGGCCTCTATCTAAATTTTGTAATCCCTAAAATCCTTTTACCCAGAGGTAATTGCTATACTCTTCTGCCATTTCTGCATCATTACATCCAAAATTGGCTACATAAATTTGTGAGGCCTGGTGTAAAATGAAAGTGTGGGGGTCTCTTGCTCAGAAAGCAGGGGGGAAATACTGTTAAAGATATCAAATATAAAGCTTTTTTCTCCTTTAGTCACTCTCACTACCTGTCATGGTGTTTTTTATTTGCAATTTAACATCATGCTCCCTTAGACAAGGAGTACTCGTGGGCCAAGTGTAGACCCTCGTAGTCACCTGGTGGGTGGTTCAGCATGTGGGGTACTCGTGGGCCAGGTACAGACCCTTGTAGTCACCTGGTGGGTGGTTCAGCATGTGGGGTACTCGTGGGCCAGGTACAGACCCTCGTAGTCACGTGGTGGGTGGTTCAGCGTGTGGAATACTCGTGGGCCAGGTACAGACCCTTGTAGTCACCTGGTGGGTGGTCCAGCATGTGGGGTACTCGTGGGCCAGGTGTAGACCCTCGTAGTCACCTGGTGGGTGGTCCAGCATGTGGAGTACTCGTGGGCCAGGTGTAGACCCTCGTAGTCACCTGGTGGGTGGTCCAGCATGTGGAGTACTCGTGGGTCAGGTGTAGACCCTCGTAGTCACCTGGTGGGTGGTCCAGCATGTGGAGTACTCGTGGGCCAGGTATAGACCCTCGTAGTCACCTGCTGGGTGGTCCAGCATGTGGAGTACTCGTGGGCCAGGTGTAGACTCTCGTAGTCACCTGGTGGGTGGTCCAGCATGTGGAGTACTCGTGGGCCAGGTGTAGACCCTCGTAGTCACCTGGTGGGTGGTCCAGCATGTAGAGTACTCGTGGGCCAGGTGTAGACCCTCGTAGTCACCTGGTGGGTGGTCCAGCATGTGGAGTACTCGTGGGCCAGGTGTAGACCCTCGTAGTCACCTGGTGGGTGGTCCAGCATGTGGAGTACTCGTGGGCCATGTGTAGACCCTCGTAGTCACCTGGTGGGTGGTTCAGCATGTGGGGTACTCGTGGGCCAGGTACAGACGCTCGTAGTCACCTGGTGGGTGGTTCAGCATATGGAATACTCGTGGGCCAGGTACAGACCCTCGTAGTCACCTGGTGGGTGGTTCAGCGTGTGGAATACTCGTGGGCCACATACAGACCCTCGTAGTCACCTGGTGGGTGGTTCAGCATGTGGAATAGTTGTGGGCCAGGTGCAGACCCTCGTAATCACCTGGTGGGTGGTTCAGCATGTGGAATACTTATGGGCCAGGTACAGACCCTTCTAGTCACCTGGTGGGTGGTTCAACATGTGCACAGCCCACCAGCCGCCATATTTCCCTTCTCAATAGACCTACACATCATGCCCAGCCAGTGGAGGGGTCTGAGGTAGTCAAGCCGTGTAGCTTCCCTTCATGGGCCTCCCACCTCAACCCCCGAGGGTATTGCAGCCTCTACACTGGGCCATGCTAGATACCTGGATTAGGGGGAGGCAAGAGGTTTACTCCTGCCAAGATGAGTAAGCCACGCCATCATCACCATCATTATGCCATGGTGCTGCCAGCCAGCATGGGACAGCCGCTAACGTGCCTTACTCCAGGACACTGCAGCGTGCAGTTGCCCTACCCCGACAATCCCCCAACACCTGAGCCTAGGCCCTCACCCAGGTCAAAGACAGAAGCAGCTTGTGGGACAGGGATTAAGGAGGGGAAGGCTGGTCAGGACCCAAGGTGCCAGAGCATGGAGGGGAATCAGGGGTAAATAATCCATCCCAGGGAGGCAGAGAGGCAGCAGGAGGCGGGACTGTACGGGAGCCAAAACCCCTCGTCCCCAGTGCATGCTTCATTGTCTCATCACACTTCGCTTACAAAACATAATTTCAAAGATAAATTTGTTAACAATTTCAAGATAAATACTGTAGAGTACAGGACCCTTCTAAGCACTGCCTCTTTCCCCAGGCTCTCGACACCTATTGACTCTGCCCCCAAACCAGAGTTCTGACACTAGAAAGAATTCATGAACAATTATCATGTTAACATCCAAACTCTCTTGCTTTCTTCTTTCTCTGTCTCTCAAGAGTTAATAAAAAGGGAAAAGGATCCATGGAGTTGTGCTGAAACTAGTCTTCCCAAGTTCACTGTGACATTTTTCTGTTTCATCACTGTATCCCACTACTATCTCTCTGTCTTCTGAAACTGCTGTGGCAAAGTCACTGAAGGTAATTGCCAAATTCGATGGGATTTTTTTGATCCTCTTACTGTAATACTTAATTTCTATACCACATTTAATTCTGAGAATCACTTTCTTTTTGAAACTCTTTCATTCCTTCACTCCCTAATACCACTATGTTCTATTTCCATAATGGTTTTTTCCCAGTCTTTTCCTTTGGCTTTCTGTCATCTGTCCTTACCTTAAATGTCAATTCAATCCAGGGTTTTCTCTTCGGTCTTATTCTCAACTCTACACTTCAGCCTGTGCACTAACTCAAGAAAGCCAAGAAAACTGATAAAGACCCAGAAGAATGCTGCTAATATTGTCTTTCCATGGAAATTCAGACTGTCACTTTAATGTCAGCTGATACTGATTCCTTCTCTACAAGGTTACTGTATTAATACGAAAGCCTTTCTTTTATTATCGACAAGTATTTCCTTTTGCCTTCAAATTTTCCTTCCAGATACGCTGGTAACTCACTCAGTGACTCAGTTCTTCTTCCCTGTGCCTCTGACAAGTAAGCATAACACAAGGCAGAAGGTATCAGCCCTGGAGCCGGGGTCTTTTTAATCAACCTTGGACTGTGTTGAACTCTGGGCATAGTTTACCTATTAAGATATATAGTAGCTATTTTCAGCAGCTTTCTAACATATCAGATTGAACACATGAAATAGAATATTCATTATATGGTCTCAGAAACTCACTGCATACTCATTTACTGATTCCCAAAACATTTTCATTTTGTTTTGTGCATGATAATGTACTAGACACTGCAGTAATCAGCAAATGGAAGGACATAGTCATGAGGCACTGACTTTTAGAGATGATAAATGCTAAAAATATGCAGGTAACTTTACAGTGAAAAAAACTTTCTAGAAAACATACAACTAAACATACAAATGAATATTAGTCCTTTTTTATTTTATAATTAAAAATAGAGACACGTTCTTACTATGTGTCCCAGGCTGGTCTCAAACTCCTGGGCTCAAGCAGTCCTCCTGCCTCGGGCTCCCAAAGTGCTGGGATTACAGGTGTGAGCCACCAGGCCCGGCCTGTTATTCCTTTCAGGGCTGGTGAGGGAAGGATTTGTCATGCTAAAAGACAAATTTCTGTTTGACATAAATTATAACATGTAAAGACTGTAGGGTTTTTTATGCAGAATGACAATATCAACATTTTAAAGAAGATTAATCATGAAGTTTTGATTCTGTGAACTTGCAGTATTAAGGAAGCATGCAGATTTTTTTTTTTTTTTTTTTTTTTTTTTTTTTGGTGGAAAGAAAGAGGTTTATTGAAGTGCTAGCAGCTGAAGAGACAGCTGGAGTCAGGTCTCAAAAAGCCATCTCAAATTCTCAGGCTGGCTAATGGGGTTTGAAGAGGAAGGCGGCATGGAAACTATGTGCAGGAGTGATGTAGGTTGCAGGTCTGCTTGTCATTTTCCAGTGGCTGTCTTGAATAATGAACCCTCTGGAGGCCTTGGTGTCAACTTGCTTAGGTCAGGGTATGGATTAACTGTGCACCAATTTCTTCTCAGAAGGGAGAAAACTTTAACTGCCATCTCCACTTTACGCCTGAGTTGCTTTAAGATTAGCCTTTGGAATTCTCAAGCAAACACGTAGTTAGATATATGTATAGCAAGAAAAAAAAATGAGGGAGGGATTACTTTTTAAAGCAAGCTAGCAAATTGGCCGTACTGGTTACTGGGAGAGAGCATCAATGAGAAAAGAAATAGATTAGCACTGAGTATTAAGAAACCTCAACATTTAACAGGTTATTGTTGGCAGACGAGCATTCAGTGGAGATTGTAAAGTGGTTAGAAATGTGTGAGGATGAACAGGAGAGGGTAAGGAGGGTACTTCAAGAAGCAAAGAGTGATCAACAAGGACAAATGATGCTTTTTGTTAAAATCATATGAGGACTTTGAAATATTCATTTCGTAACTTCAAGGTCATTATTAATCTTAGCGTGAGCGGTTTTGGTGATGTTATTGAGGCAGGAAGCATGCAGATTTAAGCCACTCAGCCTTCTGTGATGACAAATGAGAATCAGTAACGATATTGATAAATAAATAGACATGTGATTTTTTGTTTTTACATTTAGCCTTTAATTTTATATACCGTAATGAAATATAAAGAGAATATGCAAAGGTTTAGAAACATGTATCTTGAAAGTAGAATATTCGACCTAATGTTTAACAGGCTGTTTACTAAAATATGTTTCCTCTTTTTCCAAGCAGACATTTCTTTAACAACTTTACCCAGGTAAAATATTTTTTAAATTTTGTATAGCCTTCATATATCACTAGTATATTGTTTCTCTCTTATCTTCCATATTTACCAGATGAGGAATTTTTCAAATGAATTTTGCAATGATATTTGCTTAGAGTATACCTTTCTATAAGACCCATTCAGGAGGTCCATGAGGTTCACCCTTTTCTAACCACCTATCTGCATAAGGATGGATCTTCCCCCCTTTTACTTCTACCGAGATAATATTCACCAACAACTTGGCTGAAGGAGCAGAGATGATTATCCAGCTGTCTTTTATTAATACAAATATTAAAGATAGTTTTTAAAATATTGAGCATCCATTCTTACTGATATTTTTCTTTTGAAAAATAGTTATTTTTCATAAAAATACGTTAATTAACATATAATAAATTTACCATAGTCTTGAAAAAAAATTATCTTTAAATGTTCTCAATTTTAATTTGTTATATAGTAAATACAGGTGGATCTAAACCACATAAAACAAAAGCCTTGTAGGATTCTTAATAATTTTTAAAAGTATGAAGGGGGTCCTACTGTCAACATTAGACAGATCAACGAGACAGAAAGTTAACAAGGATACCCAGGAATTGAACTCAGCTCTGCACCAAGCGGACCTAATAGACATCTACAGAACTCTCCACCACAAATCAACAGAATATACATTTTTTTCAGCACCACACCACACCTATTCCAAAATTGACCACATACTTGGAAGTAAAGCTCTCCTCAGCAAATGTAAAAGAACAGAAATTATAACAAACTGTCTCTCAGACCACAGTGCAATCAAACTAGAACTCAGGACTAAGAAACTCACTCAAAACCGCTAACTACATGGAAACTGAACAACCTGCTCCTGAATGACTACTGGGTACATAACGAAATGAAGGCAGAAATAAAGATGTTCTTTGAAACCAACGAGAACAAAGACACAACATACCAGAATCTCTGGGACACATTCAAAGCAGTGTGTAGAGGGAAATTTATAGCACTAAATGCCCACAAGAGAAAGCAGGAAAGATCCAAAATCGACACCCTAACGTCACAATTAAAAGAACTAGAAAAGCAAGAGCAAACACATTCAAAAGGCAGCAGAAGGCAAGAAATAACTAAAATCAGGCAGAACTGAGGGAAATAGAGACACAAAAAACCCTTCAAAAAATTAATGAATCCAGGAGCTGGTTTTTTGAAAAGACCAACAAAATCGATAGACCGCTAGCAAGACTAATAAAGAAGAAAAGAGAGAAGAATCAAATAGATGCAATAAAAAATGATAAAGGGGATATCACCACCGATCCCATAGAAATACAAACTACCATCAGAGAATACTACAAACACCTCTACACAAATAAACTAGAAAATCCAGAAGAAATGGATAAATTCCTTGACACATACACTCTCCCAAGACTAAACCAGGAAGAAGTTGAATCTCTGAATAGACCAATAACAGGCTCTGAAATTGTGGCAATAATCAATAGTTTACCAACCAAAAAAAGTCCAGGACCAGATGGATTCACAGCCCAATTCTACCTGAGGTACAAGGAGGAGCTGGTACCATTCCTTCTGAAACTATTCCAATCAATAGAAAAAGAGGGAATCCTCCCTAACTCATTTTATGAGGCCAGCATCATCCTGATACCAAAGCCTGGCAGAGACACAACCAAAAAAGAGAATTTTAGACCAATATCCTTGATGAACATTGATGCAAAAATCCTCAATAAAATACTGGCAAACTGAATCCAGCAGCACATCAAAAAGCTTATCCACCATGATCAAGTGGGCTTCATCCCTGGGATGCAAGGCTGGTTCAACATATGCAAATCAATAAATGTAATCCAGCATATAAACAGAAGCAAAGACAAAAACCACATGATTATCTCAATAGATGCAGAAAAGGCCTTTGACAAAATTCAACAACCCTTCATGCTAAAAACTCTCAATAAATTAGGTATTGATGGGACATATCTCAAAATAATAAGAGCTATCTATGACAAACCCACAGCCAATATCATACTGAATGGGCAAAAACTGGAAGCATTCCCTTTGAAAACTGGCACAAGACAGGGATGCCCTCTCTCACCACTCCTATTCAACATAGTGTTGGAAGTTCTGGCCAGGGCAATTAGGCAGGAGAAGGAAACAAAGGGTATTAAATTGGGAAAAGAGGAAGTCAAATTGTCCCTGTTTGCAGACGACATGATTGTATATCTAGAAAACCCCATCGTCTCAGCCCAAAATCTCCTTAAGCTGATAAGCAACTTCAGCAAAGTCTCAGGATACAAAATCAATGTACAAAAATCACAAGCATTCTTATACACCAATAACAGACAAACAGAGAGCCAAATCATGAGTGAACTCCCATTCACAATTGCTTCAAAGAGAATAAAATACCTAGGAATCCAACTTACAAGGGATGTGAAGGACCTCTTCAAGGAGAACTACAAACCACTGCTCAATGAAATAAAAGAGGATACAAAGAAATGGAAGAACATTCCATGTTCATGGGTAGGAAGAATCAATATCGTGAAAATGGCCATACTGCCCAAGGTAATTTACAGATTCAATGCCATCCCCATCAAGCTACCAATGACTTTCTTCACAGAATTGGAAAAAACTACTTTAAAGTTCATATGGAACCAAAAAAGAGCCCGCATCTCCAAGTCAATCCTAAGCCAAAAGAACAAAGCTGGAGGCATCATGCTACCTGACTTCAAACTATATATACTACAAGGCTACAGTAACCAAAACAGCATGGTACTGGTACCAAAACAGAGATATAGATCAATGGAACAGAACAGAGCCCTCAGAAATACTGCCACATATCTACAACCATCTGATCTTTGACAAACCTGAGAAAAACAAGCAATGGGGAAAGGATTCCCTATTTAATAAATGGTGCTGGGAAAACTGGTTGGCCATATGTAGAAAGCTGAAACTGGATCCCTTCCTTACACCTTATACAAAAATTAATTCAAGATGGATTAAAGACTTACATGTTAGACCTAAAACCATAAAAACCCTAGAAGAAAACCTAGGCAATACCATTCAGGACATAGGCATGGGCAAGGACTTCATGTCTAAAACACCAAAAGCCACAGCAACAAAAGCCAAAACTGACAAATGGGATCTAATTAAACTAAAGAGCTTCTGCACAGCAAAAGAAACTACCATCAGAGTGAACAGGCAACCTACAAAATGGGAGAAAATTTTTGCAACCTACTCATCTGACAAAGGACTAATATCCAGAATCTACAATGAACTCAAACAAATTTACAAGAAATAAACAAACAACCCCATCAAAAAGTGGGTGAAGGATATGAACAGACACTTCTCAAAAGAAGACATTTATGCAGCCAAAAAACACATGAAAAAATGCTCATCAATCACTGGCCATCAGAGAAATGCAAATCAAAACCACAATGAGATACCATCTCACTCCAGTTAGAATGGCGATCATTAAAAAGTCAGGAAACAACAGGTGCTGGAGAGGATGTGGAGAAATAGGAACACTTTTACACTGTTGATGGGACTGTAAACTAGTTGAACCATTGTGGAAGTCAGTGTGGCGATTCCTCAGGGATCTAGAACTAGAAATACCATTTGACCCAGCCATCCCATTACTGGGTATATACCCAAAGGATTATAAATCATGCTGCTATAAAGACACATGCACACGTATGTTTATTGCGGCACTATTCACAATAGCAAAGACTCGGAACCAACCTAAATGTCCAACAACAATAGACTGGATTAAGAAAATGTGGCACATATACACCATGGAATACTATGCAGCCATAAAAAATGAAGAATTCATGTCCTTTGTAGGGACATGGATGAAACTGGAAACCATCATTCTCAGCAAACTATCACAAGGACAAGAAACCAAACACCGCATATTCTCACTCATAGGTGGGAATTGAACAATGAGAACACATGGACACAGGAAGGGGAACATCCCACTCTGGGGACTGTTGTGGGGTGGGGGGAGGGGGGAGGGATAGCATTAGGAGATATACCTAATGCTAAATGACGAGTTAATGGGTGCAGCACACCAACATGGCACATGTATACATATGTAACAAACCTGCACATTGTGCACATGTACCCTAAAACTTAAAGTATAATAAAAAAAAAAAGTATGAAGGGGGTCCTAAGATCAAAAAGTTTTAAAATTCTGGAATAGAGGATGATTAGAAGTGTGATGGAAAGATATATTCAAAATGTTGAAAATTGAAATAAGGTTATAATATTTGGAAATTACACCTCTATATAGATATTGTAAGTCTCTAAAAGCAGCAACTTACCAGAAAAAAAGAAGTAGTAAAAAAAGATAAACTGTGTGTAGTGGATCAAGATGATTGCGTAAGCTCATGTGCCCATAACTACTCCTACTCCAAATCCCATTGATATTACGGAATTATTTTTTGAGGCTACAACTATAACAATGCTCAAAAGCAAATAATAATATTATCAGTAATTAAGGAATTTTAATATACATAGAAAATATAAGAGAACTTACAGAAGTAGAATATATATTACAGACTCAAATAATGCAGAATAACCTCCTTCTCACTCAAAACACAGAAATGCCTATAGAAAATATATGTGTGTACACTGCCAGTACACACACTCACAGACCTTTACGTTAATATAGGTGCGGTGTGCATATGGAATTTAAGAGCAGGAAAAGGAATTTCCTGATGGTCAGAAATAATTAAGGAACTCAAAGCCAGAGTTGCAAGATTGAATTAGAACAGAATGTGAGCTTTCTAGAAAATATACAACTAAACATACAAATGAATATTATTCCTTTTTTGTTTTATTTTATAGTTAAAAGTAGTGAAAAAGGGGTGATGTTTTAATGATTTTATGGGAATAGGGAATGAAAGTTTCGGCCTGTGGGAGTAAAGGGAGCTGAAACTAACCTCCCTATATGAAGTTAGGATTTAGAAAATGTCTTGGCCAGGAGCGGTGGCTCACGCCTGTACAAATCCCAGAACTTTGGGAGGCTGAGGCAGGCAGATCATGAGGTCAGGAGATTGAGACCATCCTGGCCAACACAGTGAAACCCAGTCTCTACTAAAGATACAAAAATTATTTCAGCATGGTGGTGCATGCCTGTAATCCCAGCTACTCGGGAGGCTGAGGCTGGAGAATCACTTGAACCAGGGAGTCAGAGATTGCAGTGAGCCGAGATTGCGCCACTGCATTCCCGCCTGGCGACAGAGCGAGACTCCATCTTAAAAAATAATAATAATAATAAAATATTTAAAATGTATAAATGTCTGTAAAATGGGGACTGGTAAAGCTCTACTGACTGGCTTAGGATAATTACAAAGAAATGATACACCTCTTTTTGGGGCTGTAAACAGATAAGGGATTACCCAGATTTCAGATGCACATCCTAATTTAACAGCCCAAGAGATTCGGAACCTACAGCTAAGAAATAAATACAAATACAACTTTGCAAGCAGTCAAACACATAGCGCCCAGGCGGAAGTGATTGCAAAACCTATTTCCATGACGTGACCTTGCTGAGTTTTGATTTATATTCAGGCGTGTGAAATCAGTAACAAAAACAAAAACAAAAAAGGATCAGTAACAAAATTACCTAGAAAATCCCCATGTTGGGGAATTTAAACATTTCTGTATCCATGGGCCAAAAAAGAAACCAATCGTTTAAACTAAACAATTAAGACCTCCAGGCAGATAGTAAAGGACACAAAACACCTTTACTCCTGCTTTAAAAAGAAATCACATGATAAAATTTTAAAATCCTTTAAAGAATCAAAGAGCTGTGAGTAAAATGAAATCTAAAGGTGTTACATTCCAGAAGAATGAGTCCTTGCTAGGTGAACAAAAGCCTGAGAGTGTTTTCACGCTTAGGACCACTAGCTAAGGTTGGAGGCAGGACAGAAGAGCAAACTGGCCAATGATGGATGGGTAGACTTGGCTGGGATGAGGTGAAACCAGTTGAACTTTTGACTCATGTGTGAGCTGGTGTATCTGATTTGAATCTGAAAGAGTACAAAAGCAAAGATAATTCTCTCCACTTGTCAATGTCTCACATGGGAGTTTTACTTAATAACATGCATTATACCTATATGACAAAACTTCAGAACTCTCCTGAAGGAAAGGCATACTATTTCCTTAATAAATGTCCTCTACAACATAAAGATACGGATTTTCCTGAATTTATAAATGCAATGCCATCTTAATGAAAAAAATATACTTTTTCAGAACTAGACAAGATGTTTCCAGAATTGCTATGGATTAAACAAAAACAGTGTTCAGAAAAACACTGAATAAGAACAGGGATAGGGTACTGGTCATGGCAGGCATTGAAATACACAGTGAAGCCTTCATATTTAAAGTGTGAGATACTAACTCTTGAAAAGGCAGTCAAGATCAATACAAAAGCATAAGAATCCAGAAATAACCAAAATACAGTTAGGTCTTTACTAAGCAATGAAGGTAGCATCTCAAATCCCTGGGGAGAAGATGGACTAGTCAATAAATGATATTTAGATAAGTGGGTAGTCACACTTACTTAATAAAAAGCAAAGATTGGAGTCATACCTTACATAGTACACCAAAATAAATTCAAAATAATTTTACATTGAATATGTAAATACAATAAATCCAGTAACAATTAAAGAAAACATGGAAGAATTCTCTTACAACCTGGTAATTGGAGACCTTTCTAACTATATCACAAAATCCAGAAAGCAAACCAAGCTATATGATAATTTTTACTCCATAAAGCTGGAAGATAAGTAAATGACAGATAACATGGCCAAAAATTATCATAAACTCAAAAGAAAATGGAATACAGGTAGAAAAATACAACTGATTCAAGTAAACAAATCAATGTCTTCTTAATACGTAAAAAAATTTCAAATAAACCATTAAAAGAGAAACAATCCAACAAAAAAAAAATGAGCGAATGAAATCCAAGTGGAACTTGAACATATGGAAAGTTGCTCAAACTTTCTCAAAATAAGAGAAATGCAGATTTAAACTATACTGCAGTACCAGGCTGGATATGCTGGCTCATGCCTGTAATCCCAGCACTTTGGGAGGCCGAGGCAGGCAGATCACCTGAGGTCAGGAGTTCGAGACCAGCCTGGCCAACATGGCGAAACCCCATCTCTACTAAAAATATAAAAAATAGCCGGGCATGGTGCTGGGCACCTGTAATCCCAGCTACTCGGGAAGCTGAGGCAGGAAAATCACTTGAACCCAGGAGGTGGAGGTTGCAGTGAGGTGAGATTGCACCATTGCACTCCAGCCTGGGCGACAGAGCAAAACTCCATCTCAAATAAAAATAAATAAAAATTTTAAAAAATGATACCACAGTACCATTTTTCATCCATCAGACTGGCAGTAATCAATGTATGACAAAACCTGATGTTGGGAAAGAACATGAGGAAAGAAGAACTCTCATACATCACCACTGAGAGGGCATATTGGTGCAACTGCTGCAGAGAGCAGTTTATCAGTATCTATGAAAATTGCAGTGTATTTACCCCATGACTCAACAATTACACTTTTAGGAATGTGCCCTACCAATATGCTCAAAGTTGTACAAAGTTGCTCATTGTAGCATTGACTGATTATAATGGCAAGGGAGAAACAAACGTTTATCAGTAGGTTACTGGTTAAATAAATTGTAGTTCCTCCATAATTTAGAATAACATCCAACTGAAAAATCAGTGAAAATATGTAAAGATCTCTAAAATAACTTTAGATGATGAACAGAAGATTCAGAAAAAATATGTTTAGCATGCTAGCATTTTGTAAAAGGGATGAAAATAATATATCTATTGGTTATACACAAACATTTTATAGGAATCTAAGCAAGAACTTACGAATAATACTTACCTATGGGGTGCAGATGGATTTATGGGAATTGAGTGATGGAGTACAGGGTGGGAGAGACAGCTTTTGCTATATTTTTAATATAATTTTTAAGTATATGAATATTCAAGAAAAATAAGAAAGAAAATTAGTTCTGCATCTATTGAACTCTCATCAAGTGACAAATGTTAAGTTACAAGCGTGATTTCATTTTTATAAAAAGTATGTGAGTGGGGGGGTGAGGTTGTCATGTCTATTTATGGCTATAAAGAAAGATGGGCTGGGCGTGGTGGCTCACGCCTGTAATCGCAGCACTTTGGGAGGCCAAGGCAGGCAGATCACCTGAGGTCAGGAGTTTGAGACCAACCTGGCCAACATGGTGAAACCCCGTCTCTACTAAAAATACAAAAATTAGCCAGGCATGGTGGTGGGCGCCTGTAATCCCAGCTACTCGGGAGGCTGAGGCAGGAGAATTGCTTGAACCCAGGAGGCAGAGGTTGCAGTGAGCTGAGATTGCACCCCTGCACTCCAGCCTGGGCGACAGAGCAAGACTCCATCTCAAAAAAATAAAAAAATAAAAACATGTTTATGGTTATGTTTTGCCACAACTAAAAAAGAAATTTGTACAAAATGTAAAGAAATGCAAACAAATTTTATTTTCTAGCTTATCACTGTGTGGGCATATGATCCAGAAAGTGCAGATCCTGATGAGTTGCTGGGGAATGCAGAAGAACCTTCAATAGTAGGTGGAAACATTAGTATCGTCATAGTAAGAACAGAATGCTGCCTTTCTTTTGTAGGGACTGTGAAAAATTTATAATCAATAGACAGGATTTTAAGCTGCCCACACCTAACTAAATACATTTGCATGATCCCTTTTAGTTTAGCCATTATAGTAGTTTTGAACTTATGCTTAATCTCTACAATAATAAACCTTTCTTTAGAACTCTAATTGAACATTCTTCATATTTTCTTTTTTCTTTTTATTTATTTATTTTTAAATTTTACTCTAAGTTCAGAGATATATGTACAGAATGTGCAGTTTTGTCACATAGGTATACATGTGCCATGGTAGTTTGCTGCACCTATCAACCCATCATCTAGGTTTTCAGCCCTGTATGCATTAGGTATTTGGCCAAATGCTCTCCCTCCCCTTCCCCCCCACCCCTCGACAGGCCATGGTGTGTGATGTTCCCCTCCCTGTGTTCATGTGTTCTCATTGTTCAACTCCCAATTATGAGTAAGAACATGTGGTGTTTGGTTTTCTGTTCTTGTGTTAGTTTGCTGAAGATGATGGTTTCCAGTTTCATCCATGTCCCTGCAAAGGACATGAACTCATCCTTTTTTATGACTGCATAGTATTCCATGGTATATATGTGCCACATTTTCTTTATCCAGTCTCTCATTGATGGGCATCTGGGTTGGTTCCAAGTCTTTGCTGTTGTGAATAGTGCTGCAATAAACATACGTGTGCATGTGTCTTTATATTAGAATGATTTATAATCCTTTGGGTTATATACCCACTAATGGGATTGCTGGGTCAAATGGTATTTCTGGTTCTAGATCCTTGAGGAATTGCCACACTGTCTTCCACAATGGTTGAACTAATTTACACTCCCACCAACAGTGTAAAAACGTTCCTATTTCTCTGCATCCTCACCAGCATCTGTTGTTTCCAGACTTTTTAATGATAGCCATTCTAACTGGGTGCAAGATAGTATCTCATTATGGATTTGATTTGCATTTCTCTTATGACCAGTGATGATGAGCTTTTTTTTCATATGTTTGCTGGCTGCATAAATGTCTTCTTTTGAGAAGTGCCTGCTTATATCCTTTGCCCACTTTCTGATGGAGTTGTTTTTTTAATTGTAAATTTGTTTAAGTCCCTTGTAGATTCTGGATATTAGACTTTTGTCAGATGGATAGATTGCAAAAATTTTCTCCCATTCTGTAGTTTGCCTTTTCACTCTGATGGTAGTTTCTTTTGCTCCGCAGAAGCTCTTTAGCTTAATTAGATCCCATTTGTCAATTTTGGCTTTTGTTGCAATTGCTTTTGGTGTTTTAGTCATGAAGTCTTTGCCCATGCCTATATCCTGAATGGTATTGCCTAGGTTTTCTTCTAGGGTTTTTATGGTTTTAGGTTTTACATTTAAGTCTTTAATCCATCTTAAGTTAATTTTTGTGTGAGGTTTAAGGAAGGGGTCCAGTTTCTGTTTTCTGAATAAGGTTAGCCAGTTTTCCCAGTATCATTTATTAAATAGGGAATCCTTTCCCCATTGCTTATTTTTGTCAGGTTTGTCGAAGATCAGATGGTTGTAAATGTGTGGCGTTATTTCTGAGGCCTCTGTTCTGTTCCATTGGTCTATATATCTGTTTTGTTACCAGTACCATGCTGTTTTGGTTACTGTAGCTTTGTAGTATAGTTTCAAGTCAGGTAGCGTGATGCCTCTAGCTTTGTTCTTTTTGCTTAGGATCGTCTTGGCTATTCAGGCTCTGTTTTGGTTCCATATGAAATTTAAAGTAGTTTTTTCTAGTTCTGTGAAGAAAGTCAGTGGTAGCTTGATGGGAATAGCATTGAATCTATAAATTACTGCTGGCAGTATGGCCATTTTCACAACATTGATTCTTCCTATCCATGAGCATGGAATTTTTTCCATTTGTTTGTGTCCTCTCTTATTTCCTTGAGCAGGGGTTTGTAGTTCTCCTTGAGAGGTCCCTCACATCCCTTGTAAGTTGTATTCCTAGATATTTTATTCTCTTTGTAGCAATTATGAATGGGAGTTCACTCATGATTTGGCTCTCTGCTTTTCTGTTATTGGTGTATAGGGCATATTTTCTATTAACCTCATCATTCATGAAGGGGCTGACCATTAAGGTGCTTTAGAGATGTTCCTTGAGCATCCATATCAAAACCTTCTTTAAAAATCTGTCTAATCACTTATTGAATCCTTTATCACTTGAAGATAAATGAATTTTCTAAAGGTCCAACACAGTGAATAAATAAATCCTTTCTTTTTTTGTTACAAATTTACCTCTTTCAAGATTTAAATTTTGTCTTCTGTTACAATTGAAATGTATTAAAGAAAAATCTAAAATGAGGAATTAGCTAACTGTTAATTTCTCATGGGACTGTTTACATTTTAATGAGTCAAGAGCTGTCTGATTTTTAAATAGCATATTATCCTATCTCATGGTAATCAAATTCACAAGGGAAGGATTGATAAATCAGAAGGATACGCAACCAATTGTTTCATCTGGTAATCAACTTTAGAGGGAATAAAATAAATTAATGGTAATTAAACACTTTAAGTATGATATTGACTTAATTTCTAATCATTTTAAGTAAATATGCACATTTTAATGTTATTTAGTGCATTCATACTTAATACTTTCTTTTCATCTGCACATTTATCCATGATGATATAATTTTATTAAATCCTTTCTATGGCTCTCCATTAGAAACAGCATAGACTCTTAACTCTTAGGCTCTTAATGTGAAATACAAAACCTTATCTGCCTCTGCCCCTCTTCTCTGGCCTCAGCTCTCTACACATCTTGCCTCCGGCCACTGGACTCTGCTGTCTCCTCACACACACCTGCTGTTCTATGCATCTGTGTCTTGGCTGATGCTGTTCCCTGCACATCAACCGCGCAGCCATTTTCTTCATCTCAGTAACTTCTACTCATGTTTTAGGTCTCTAATTAGGTGTCACTGCCTTCAAGATATCTGCCATAACCGAATCAGGGCTTTTTTTTTTCACATGAGCAGATTGAGGGGATTATTTTGAAACTACAGTTTTGATCAATCATCCACAATGATGAAATGAAGTGATGACCACCTTTATCTTTAGAAATGCTTTGTTTTACAATGTGTTTTTCTGATATAGCTAAACCAGATTTGGGGGGATGAATATTTGTATGTGGCTGTACATTTTTCCTGCTTTTACTTTAAGCTTCCTGTATCCTTACAGTTTTTTTCAAACACCAACTCAAACCAGACTTATATTTTTAATATGTGTCTTATAAACACTATAAAGTTGAGTTTTTGTTTCTGTTTTTTATCTTGACTGGCATTATATGTCTTTAATTAGAGCATTAAGTTCGTTTTCATCTAATAGAGACACAATATATTCTTAGATTTGCTTTATATTTGTTCTGCCTGTGTATATTCTTTTTAACTGGCAACTCTCTTCAGTTGCCAGTTAGCAGTTTTTCTGTCTCAGTGTTTTAAAGACACTGTTTCACCGGCTCCTTACTTCCACTGTTGCTGTTAGGAAACCATCTTTCTGCCTGTTCACTCCTTCGAAAGTGTCTTAACCTGGGCTCCCCAGAAGTGTGCTTGTAGTTCATTTTTGGAGGTGATGCCAGGAAATAAGAGTGGAGGACCAGGAAAAGTGTGCCAGGAAAGGAGGGAGATACAATTTTTAGGCTATCACTGCCGTGGACCACTAGAGCACAATCTTGCTGAGCTCCTCCAAGAAGCCATGTAGAATAGGTTTGAAAATTGTCCAACAGAAGAACAGAAAATGCCTCAGAGTTGCCTCACAGAGGAGAGAAAGGTTCCCATCCCCCATTGGTCAGAGGTTTCCCCCTGGCTTGTTAACTCCTGGTACTTCCTGTCCTGGTTGTGCATATCTAAGTGCAGAATAGGTTTCCACGGGCAGCCAAGATGCAGGGATAGACAGGCCTTGACAGAGAAGGGAAAATGATGCTTGAGTTGATGATGCTAGAGTTGATGGGAGATTCTATCAGGTTATAAATGTGTGAAGTGTGTTGCCAGAATTGGCTAGATTAAAAAGTAGGGTGCTACAGGTTACAAGAGGTGTTGAATAAGTAAGTAATCCATCTTTTCTCCTCTGGCTGCTTTTGAGATTTTTCTCTTTGTCTTTTGTTTTCTGCAGTTTTACTATGATGTATCTAAATGTGAATTAAAAAAAATTTACTCTACTTGGAATTATTTGACTTTATGAATCTGTGGATTGGGGTTTCCACAATCTTCTGAAAATTATTAGCCACGTCTTTTCAAATATTGTCTGTGCCTCATCATTTTTCTCCCTTTCCTCTGGGATTCCAAATAAACATGTTCTTATTCTATCTCCTGAAATTCCATTTCAACATATATTAGACCCATCTGATTCATCTGCCATCACGTTTACCCTCTTATCAATATATTCCCTCTTTTTATCTCTCTGTGCCACGTTTGGCTCAGCTATTTCTTCTGACCAACTTCTAGGTTGCTAAAATAATTTCTTTTTAAAATTTTTGTTTCTTTTGAGACGAGGTCTCACTCTGTCACCCAGGCTGCAGTGCAGTGGCACAATCATGGCTCACTGCAGCCTCAGCCTCCTGGGCTCAAGTGATCCTCCCATGTAGCTAGAGCCACAGACACACACCACCACACTTGGCTAATTTTTGTGGAGACCAGGTCTTGCCACATTGCCCAGGCTAGTCTCAAACCTCTGGGCTCAAGCGATCCACCCACCTCAGCCTCCCAAAGCACTGGGATTACAGGTGGGAGCCACTGCACCTAGAAAATTATTTCTAATATGCTATTAAACCCACTCACTGAGTTACTCATATCAGTTATTTTCAGACATTTTATTTGGTTATTTAACAAATTTTGTGTTTCACTTTTATAGTTTTCTATGACCTGGAGATATTTCATGCTTATTTTTTTCCTTTTTTTCTAAAGTTTTATTTTTGACTCTGTGTATAAGCATGTTTCTTTTTTATTTAACATGGTAACCATAGTAGAATGTAAAACCAATGTGGGACAGTTAAATATTCCTCTGTTCACCATGTTTAACAAATAAAAGAGCACACAAATATCCAGCTATTTATCTGCACTTGAAATACTGATGGCAATACCATGTTCCTTTTATTTCATATCTAAGCATTTTGAAAGAGTTTTTTAAATATAAGGTTTCTATGTCCTCACCTTGCATTCATTCACTTTTCAAAAACACTTTTTCTTTTAGAACAGTTTTAGTTTTCCAGAATTATTACAAAGATAGTACAAGGAGTTCCTGTTTATCCCACACCTAGTTTTCTCTATTATTAATATCTTCCTGTTGTATATTTGTCATAATTACTGAACCAATATTGTTACATTATTATTAATAGAAGTCCATATTTTATTCACATTTCCTCAGCTAATGTTCATTTTGTATTCCAGAATCCCACCAGGAATAGCAAATTATATTTAGTTGTCTTGTCTCTTTACGTTCTTAATTGTGACAGTTTCTAGACTTTCATGGCTTTTGATGCCCTTGGAAATGTTGAGGATTGCTGGTCAGATATTTTGTAAAATGTCAGTCCATTGGGATTCATCTGAGATTTTTCTCATAATCAGATTGGAGTTAGGTGTTTCAGGCAGGAAGACCGCAGAAGTAAAGTGGCATTCCCATTACGCGCAATCAAGGGCGCATACAATCATATGATGTGTCGCTGCTGATGTTTGCGTTCATCACCTGGCTTGTGATTGTGATCCTCTACTGTAAAGTTCCTCTTTCTTCTCCCTGTCCATGTTGTTCGCCTTGGAAGTAAGTCACTCAGTACAGTTATACTTTACCTTCTTAAGGAAAGGAGTATCTACATAAATATTTTTGGAATTCTTATTTTATGGCAAACTTGTCTTATCCCTGATTTATTTATTTACTTATTCAATCATTTATTTATATCACTGTGGACTCATGAATATTTATTTTATGTTTTGGGTTACAATCCAATACTACTTTATTTATTGGGAGCTCTTTCAGTCAGCTCCTGCATCCCTTTGACATTCTCTCATCATCGTGGGGTTTTGTTGTTTGGTTGTTTTGTTGTTTTCTTTGTTGTTAACACTCTCTTTCTTACTGGCACTATAAGATGCTCCAAGCTAATCCGGTATAATTCCTGCATCATAGCACGTGCACCATCTTACATTCCCAGTCCTAGAATCAGGCATTTCTCCTAGGAGCTCTGGACCGTTTCGGTTCCTTTATTAGAGAAAGGTATTAGACATCAAGATCGGGGTACTAGGTGTGCTTTTTGATGTTTGGTTGTTTTCCTCTCTCAGCTGTCAGAGCAAGGAAACATATATGTGTGTACTAATCCAAGCATATATACACACATATCTATAAATTTTTCCATATTTAACTATCTGTATTTATATTAAGCTAAATGTGAGTTTATACAGATGGCTTCAACCCTAATCTATGACCACATTAATCATTCTGGACTCCTTGCTTGCTTAGCTGTAATCTCCTACCTTAAGAATAAGAAACTAGACTCCCACCATCTGCCATCCATTTGCTTAACATGTATGTTTCCAGCATACATGTTATTAGTCAGCTCAGGTGATCCTAACAACATACCATAGACCGGGTGGCTTAAAAAACAGAAATTTGGCTGGGCGTGGTGGCTCATGCCTGTAATCCCAGCACTTTGGGAGGCCGAGGTGGGTGGATCACGAGGTCAGGAGATGGAGACCATCCTGGCTAACACAGTGAAAGCCCATCTCTACTAAAAATACAAAAAATTAGCTGGGCATGGTGGCACACACCTGTAGTCCCAGCTACTCAGGAGGCTGAAGCAGGAGAATCACTTGAACCCGGGAGGCGGAGGTTGCAGTAAACCGAGATCACGCCGCTGCACTCCAGCCTGGGTGACAGAGCGAGACCCCATCTCAAAAAACAAAAACAAAAACAAAACAAAACCAAAAAACACAGAAATTTATCTCCTGTCAGTTCTAGAGGCTAGAAGTTTAAGATCAGGGTTTCATACTGGCTTGTAGATAATTTATGTAAATGGAATCATACAATATTTTTGACCTTTTGTAACTTAGTTCACTTAGCATAATGTCTTCAAGGTTCACCCATGTTTTAGCATGTTTCAGAATTTCTTCCCTTTTTAAGGCTGAATAATATTCCATCATATATATATAAAATATACCACATTCTGTGTGTCCATTCATCCATCACTGGACACATGGGTTGCTTCCACCTTTTGGCTTTTGTGAACAATGCTGCTATGAACATGGATGCACAAATATCTGCTCATATCCCTGCTTTAAAAACTTTTGGGTATATACCCAGAAATGGAACTGCTAGATCCCATGGTAATTCTATTTTTATTGTTTTGAGAAACTGCCACACCATTTTCCATAGCACCTCCACCATCTTACATTCCCATTAACAGTACACAAAGGTTCCAATTCCTCTACAGCCTCACTAACACTTGTTTTGTTTTGTCTTTGGAGGAGGGAGTTTTATTTTGTTTTTATTGAGTAACAAGATTTTTGATAATCTTGTTAATAATCTTATTAGATTGTGTATAGATTATTTTGGGGGTATATGTGATATTTTGGTACCCATATACAATGTGTAATGATCAAATCAGGGTAATTGGGATATCCATCACCTCAAACATTTATCTTTTTTTTTGTGCTGAGAATGTTAAAAATCAACTTTCTTAGCTATTTTCAAATATACAATAAATGATTAAGCTTCACCCTACTATGCTATCAAACACTAGAGCTTATTCTATCTAACTGTGTGTTTATATCCATTAACCAGCCTCTCTTCACCACCACCCCCACCAGCCTTCCCAGCATCTGGTGACCGCTTTTCAACTCTCTGCCTCCATGAAATCCACTTTTTTAGCTCCCACATATGAGAACATATGATATTTCTCTTTCTATGCCTGGTATATTTCACTCAAAATAATAGCCTCCAGTTCCATGCATATTGCTGCAAATGACAGGTTTTCATTCTTTTTTTTTATAGCTGAATAGTATTACATCATATATATAGACTGCATTTTCTTTACCCATTCTTCCATTGCTGAATATTTAGGTTGTTTCCATATTTGGCTATTGTGAATAATGCTACAATAAACATGGGGGTTCAGGTATCCCTTTGACATCCTGATTTCATTTCCTTTGGATAAATACCTAGTAGTGGGATTGCTGGATTGCATGGTAGTTTCATGTTTAGTTTTTTGAAAAATTTCCATACTGTTTTCCATAGGAGTTGTACCGATTTACATTCCTACCAACAGCATATGAGGTTACCTATCAGATGAATAGTTTGCAAGTATTTTCTCCCATTCTACAGACTGTCTCTTCACTTCATTGATTGTTTCCTTTGCTGTGTAGAAGCTTTTTAATTTAATAAAGTCCCATTTGTCTATTTTTGTGTTTGTTGCATATGCTTTTGAAGTCTTAGCTGTAAAATGTTTGCCCAGACCAACGTCCTAAAGCATTTCCTCTGTTTTCTTCTAGTAGTTTTATAGTTTCATGTCTTACCTTTAAGTCTTTAATTCATTTTGAGTTGATATATATATAGTGAGAGATAAAGGTTTAATTTCATCCTTCTGCATATGGATATCCAGTTTTCCCAGCACAATTTATTGAAGAGGGCATCCTTTCCCAAATGTATGTTCTTGGTGCCTTTGTCAAAAATTAGTTGGCTGTAAATATGTGGATTTATTTCTGGATTCTCTATTCTATCAGTCTATGTTTTTATAACAATACCATGCTGTTTTGTTTACTATAGCTTTGTACTGTACTTGAAGTCAGGTTGTGTATGCCCCTAGCTTTGTTCTTTTTGCTCATTATTGTTTTGGCTACTTGGGATCTTTTGTGGTTCCATATGAATTTTAGGATTTTTTTTTCTATTTCTGTAAAGAATGTCCTTGATATTTTGATAGAGATTGCATTGAATTTGTACATTGCTCTGGGTAGTATGGTCGTTTTAACAATATTAATTGGTCTGATACTGCAATATGGAATGTCTTTCCATTTGTTTATGTCATCTTCAATTTTTTTCCTCAGTGTTTTATACTTTTCTTTGTAGAGGTCTTTTACTTCCTGAAATTTATTCCTAGGTAATTTTTTTTGTAACTATTGTAAATGGAATTGCTTTCTTGATTTGTTTTTCAGCTAGTTTGTTATTGGTGTAAGAAACACTACTGTTTTTTCTTTTCTTTTTTTTTTTTTTTGAGACAGAGTCTCACTCTGTCACCCAGGTTGGAGTGCAGTGGCGCGATCTTGGCTCACTGCAAGCTCCGCCTCCCAGGTTCACACCATTCTCCTGCCTCAGCCTCTCGATTAGCTGGGACTATAGGCACCCGCCACCACGCCCAGCTAATTTTTTTTTATTTTTAGTAGAGATGGGGTTTCACCGTGTTAGCCAGGATGGTCTCAATACCCTGACCTTGTGATCCGCCCACCTTGGCCTCCCAAAGTGCTGGGATTACAGGCGTGAGCCACTGCGCCTGGCCAGAAACACTACTGTTTTTTCTATGTTGATTTTGTATTGTGCAACTACTGAATTCATTTACTAGTTCTACACATTTTTTTGGTGGAATCTAGGTTTTTCTATATATAAGATTGTGTTGGCTGGGTGTGGTGGCTCATACCTGTAATCCCAGCACTTTGGGAGGTCAAGGTGGTGTGGATTGCTTGAGAGGAGCTCAAGACAAGTGTGGGCAACATAGTGAGACCCTATCTCTAAAAAAAAAAAAAAAAAAAATTAGCCAGGCATAGTAGCACGTGCCTGTAGTGCCAGCTACGTGGGAGGCTAAAGCAGGAGGATCACTTGAGCCCAGGAGTTTGAGGCTGCAGTGAGCCATGATCTGAGTGAGATTCTGTGCCCCTTCCCCCACCAAAAAAAAAAAAAATTGTGTCATTGTGTCATCTGCAAAGAAGAACAATTTATTTTCCAACCTTGATCCTTTTTTTTTTCTTTTGTCTATTGCTCGGCTAGGACTTCCAATATTATGTTGAATAGGAGTGGTAAAAGTGGGCATCCTTCATCCTTGTTTTGATCCAGTTCTTAGAGGGAGAAGCTTTCAACTTTTCCCCATTCAGTATGATGTTAGTTGTGGGTCTGTGATATATGGCTTTTATTATGTTGAGGTATGTTCCTTCTATGCCTAATTTGTCGAGTTTTTTTTTTTATCATGAAGAGATGTTGAATCTTATCAAATGCTTATTCTGCATCTGTTAAGACAATCATATGGTTTTTGTTCTTCATTCTGTTGATGTGATATATCATATTTATTGATTTGCATATGTTGAACCACCCTTGTATCCCTGGGATGAATCTCACCTGATCATGGTGTATTATCTTTTTGATGTCTTGTTGGATTCATTTTGCTAGTATTTTGTTTTGAATTTTTGCATCTCTGTCATCAGGGATATTGGCCTGTAGTTTGTTGTTGTTGTTGTGTCCTTGTCTGGTTTTGGTGTCAGGGTAACGCTTGCCTTGTAAAATGAGTTAGGGAGAATTTCCTCCCCTTCAAATTTTTGGAATAGTTTGCAGAGAACCGATATTAGTTATTCTTTATAAGTTTGGTAAAATTCAGCAGTAAAGCCATCTGGTCCTGGGCTTTTCTTTTTTGGGAGACATTTTATTGGAGATTCAATCCTGTTACTAATTAATGGTCTATTCAGGTTTTCTATTTCTTCCTGGTATAATCATGGTAGATTTTACGTGTCCAGGAATTTATTCATTTCCTTTAGGTTTCACAATTTGTTAGCATATAGTGGTTCATAAATAGTCCTTAAGGATCCTTTGAAGGTTTGTGGATCCACATCAGTTGTAATGTGTCCTTTTTGTTTCTGATTTTATCGAGTCTTCTCTCTTTTTTTCTTGGTCACTCTAAGTAGCAGTTTATCGATTTTATCTTTTTTAAAAATCAACTTTTTGTTTTGTTGATTCTTTGTATGTGTTTTAGTCTCTATTTCATTTAGTTCTGCTCTGATCTTTATTCTTTCTTTCTTTCTACTAATTTTGGGTTTGATTTGTTCTTGCTTTTCTGGTTCCTTGAGGTGCATTAGGTTGTGTATTTGAGATCCTTTTACTTTTATGACCTAGGTGTTTATTGCTATAAACTTCTCTCTTAGCAGTGCTTTTACAGCATCCCATAGATTTTGATATGTTGTGTTTCTATCTTCATTTGCGTCAAGGAATTTTTTAATATATTCTTAATTTCTTTCCTGACCCAATGGTCATTTAGGAGCATGTTGTTTAATTTCCATGCGTTCTTTTCTTCCCTAGAATGTCCACTTTCGTCCATGTATTTTTATAGTTTCAAATATTCCTCTTGTTTTTGACATCTAATTTTACTCCACTGTGGTCAGAGAAGACACTTGATATGAATTCAATTTTTAAAAAAATGTTTGAGATTTGTTTTGTGTCCTAATATATGGCCACTTCTGGAGAACATTTCACATGTTGATTAAAAGAATGTGTATTCTGTACTTTTTATGCAAAATGTTTTGTAAATGTCTGTTAGGTCCATTTAGTCTGAAGTGCAGTTTGAATCCAGTGTTTCTTTGTTGATTTTCTATCTAGAGTTCTGTCCAATGCTGAGAGTGGGGTGTTGAACTCCCCAGCTATTATTTTTATGGAGGTCTATTTCTCCCTTTAGATGTAATTATATTTGCTTTATATATCTGGGTGTGTTGAGTGCATATAACATTTCTTTCTTTTTTTTTTCTTTTTCTTTTTCTTTTTTTTTTTTTTTTTTTTTTTTTGAGACAGAATTTCGTTCTTGTTGCCCAGGCTGGAGTGCAATGGCACCATCTTGGCTCACTGCAACCTCCGCCTCCCAGGTTCAAGCAATTCTCCTGCTTCAGCCTCCCGAGTAGCTGGGATTATAGGCGCCCACCAGCACACCTGGCTAATTTTGTATTTTTAGTAGAGACAGGGTTTCACCATGTTGGTGAGGCTGGCCTCGAACTCCTGACCTCAGGTGATCCACCCACCTCAGCCTCCCAAAGTGCTGGGATTACAGGCATGAGCCACCGCGCCTGGCTGAATGCATATAACATTTCTAAATAATGCTATATCCTCTTGCTGAACTGATTTATTTATTATTATCTAATGACTTTCTTTGTCTCTTTTTATGGTTTTTGACTTAAAGTCTGTTTTACCTACTATAAGAATAGCTACTCCTGCTCACTTTGACTCCATTTGTGTGGAATAACTTTTTATATGCCTTCACTATGAATCTTCATGTATCTTTACAAGTGAAGTGAGTTTCTTATAGGCAATATATAGTTGGATTGTGTTTTTTTTTAATCCATTCAGCCTGTAAATGTCATTTAAATGGAAAATTCAATTCATTTACATTACATTCAAGGTTATTATTTATAGGTGAGGACTATTCCTGTCATTCTGTTAATTTTTTTCTGGTTCTTTTGTATATCCTTTGTTCCTTCATTCTCTCTTATTGTTTATCATTGCAGTTTGGTGGTTTTCTGTAGTGGTAACATTTGACTCCTTTCTCTTTCTTCTTTGTGTTATTGATATACCATTGAGTTTTATGCTTTTGTGTGTTTTCATTATGGTAGATACCATCCTTTCACTTCCAGATATAGGACTTCCTTAAGCATTTCTTGTAGGGCTGATCTATTGTTGATGAATTCCCCCAGGTTTTGCTTACCTGGGAAAGACTTCATTTCTTTATTTTTGAAGGATAGCTTTGCTAGGTATTGTATTCCACACTGGCAGTTAGAACTTTGACTGTATCATCTCATTCTCTCCTGGCCTATTAGGTTTCTGCTGAGAAATCCACTGTTAATATGAGGAAGATTCCCTTACATGTGACTTGATGCTTTTCTCTTGCTGATTTTAGAATTCTCTTTTTGCCTTTACCTTTTGGCAGTTTGAAATTCATGTACCTTGGAGAAAACCTTTTTTGGGTTAAATCTATTTGGAGATCTTTGAGCTTCCTGTACCTGGATATCTATATATCTTGCAAGGCTTGGGAAGTTTTCAGCGATTATTTTGTAAAATAGCTTTTCTATGTGTTTGCCTGTCTCTCCACCTTCTGGAGCTCTCAAAATTCAAATATCTGGTTGCTTTATGGTATCCCATATGTCATATAGGCTTTCTTCATGCTTTCTTATTCTTTTTGTTTGTTTGACTGGGTTATTGCAAAAGACCTGTCTTCGAGTTCAGAAATTCTTTCTTCTGCTCGATCAAGTCCATTGTTAAAGCTCTTAATTGTATTTTTAATTTTATGCATTGAATTCTTCAGTTCCAAGATTTCTGTTTGACCTTTTTCTTTAATATCTATCTGTTTGTTAAATCTCTCATTCAGATCTTGAATTGATTTCCTATTTTCTTTGTGTTGTTTATTTGTGTTCTCTTGTATCTCACTAAGTTTCTTTTTTTCCTCCTCCCTCTCTGAGTTTCTTTATTGTCATTTTTTTCAATTCCTTTTCAGACATTTCTTAGATTTCCTTTTTGTTGGGATCTGTTACAGAGAATTATTGTGTTCCTTTGGAAGAGCCATGTTTCCTTGCTTTTTCATGTTTCTTGTGTCTTGCACAGATACATTGGTATCTGTGCATCTGGTATAAAAGTTGCTTCTTTCAGTTTTATAGATTGGCTTTCATAGTGGAAGACATTTTCCTTTGGATATTTCTTCAGTGTTGGTTGGGTAGGTTACTCTGGCTTTAATTCTGGATGGGCACAGTAGTGTAGTCCCTGCATGATTTCTTCAGCTATATAATCAGCATCAATGATGTCTCTGAGTTTTGCAGTGGCTTAGGCTGTGGTTGTTATTGAAGGCTATGGTGGGGCTTTGTTGGGGACAGGAGAACCAGGCAGGCTGGTCCATGGACACCAGTGGTAGGGACAGCTGGCTAAACATCAGGTTCGTGAACCCCCTGGCAGCCTACATGGGCACTAGTAGTAGCAGGTCTGGGTAGACCAATTCTTGGGCCTCCAGGTGGCTTGCTTGAGTGCTGGCAGTGGCAGCAGTGGGCCAGATGGGTGTCAGGTCCGCAGGCCCCTTGGCAGCATTCATTGCATAAGCAGTGGCAGTAGCAGCAGGAGGCCAACCCTTCAGCCCCCTTGCAGCACGTGAGTACCAGCAATTGCAGTGGTGGGCTGAATTGGCCAATCCCCAGGCCTCCAGGTGGCACACAGATGTGGGTGCCAGTGCCAGTGGCAGGTTGGGCAGGCCAGTCCCAAGGTCTTCAGTAAATCCACATGGTGGAAGTGATGGGCAGGACAGGTCTATTCTCAGGCCCCTGAAAGGCATACATAAGTGCCAGTGGTGTCAGGCAGGGCAGAACAATCCCCAGGCCCCTGGAGGGTATATGTGAGTGTCAGTAGGAGCAGGTGGAGAAGATCAATCTCCAGGTCCCTGGACAACATGCATATACACTGGCAGCGGCAGTTGGGGTGAGTTGACCCCTAGGCTTCTGAATGATGCATGCGGGCACTGGTGAAGGTGGATGTAGGCAGGTCTGGCCTATCATCATGACTCCAGTGGTGCATGTGGGTGCCGCTTGCAACGAGCAGGGTGGATCTATCCCTAGGTCCCCAGATAGCATGCTGGGGCACTGGTAGTGGTGGTGGCAGTGGACAGATCAGGACCATCCTCAGGCCCTCAGATGGTGTGCATGGGCACTGGCAGTGGTGGGCAGGGCAGGTGGATTCCCAGGCCTCCAGATAAAAAATGCATGCAGGCCGCACTGGTGGAAGCTGCAGGTGGGTTGGGTATAACCTCAGGTCCTCCAATGGTGTGTATGGCCACTGGCTGTAGTGGGTGGAGCAAATTGATCCCTGTGCTCCCAGACTCATTTTTTAATTAGGTTGTTTGGTGTTATTTTTTATTGCTCAGGTTTAAGTTTTCTATATATTCTGGATATTAATGTTTTATGAGATATGTGATTTGAAACTATTTTCTTCTATCCTGTGGATTATCTTTTTATTCTGTTCATAGGGACTTTTGAGGCACAGAAGTTTTTAATTTTAATGAAAGCTATTTTTCTTTTTGTTACCCGGGCTTTTGGTGTCATATCCAAGAAATCATTGCCAAATCCAATGTCATGAATATTTTTCCCTATGTTTTCTTCTAAGAGTTTTATCGTTTAGCTCTTAACATTTCAGGAATTAACTATTGATAATGCCCAACAACTTGGATGGATGCTGAGTTAAATAGCCACTTTCAAAGTATTGAATACTGTATGATTCCATTTATAGAACATTTTAGAGGTGACAAATTGTAGTAATACAAAACAGTTAAGTGGTTTTCAGGGCTTAGGATATGTGGGCAGCTGTGAATCTTAAGTGGTAACATGACAGAGTTTCTTCTATGTGATGTATTCACTCTTGTGTTCTGGTTGTGGTGGTAATTACGTGAATCTACGCATGTGATAAAGTTTTACAGAACTATGCTAAATAAATAAATAAAAGAGTGTCTGGGCCGGGCGCGGTGGCTCACGCCTGTAATCCCAGCACTTTGGGAGGCCGAGGCGGGTGGATCACGAGGTCAGGAGATTGAGACTATCCTGGCTAACATGGTGAAACCCCGTCTCTACTAAAAATACAAAAAATTAGCTGGGCGTTGTGGCAGGCACCTGTAGTCCCAGCTACTCAGGGGGCTGAGGCAGGAGAATGGCATGAACCCGGGAGGTGGAGCTTGCAGTGAGCCGAGATCACGTCACTGCACTCCAGCCTGGCGGACAGAGCAAGACTCCATCTCAAAAAAAAAAAAAAAAAAAAAAGAGTGCCTGGAAAAATTGGTGAAATCTGAATAAGGTCTGTACCCGAGTTAATAACGTATCAGCATCAATTTCCTAGTTTAGACAATGCATTAGGATTATGTAAACTATTCCCATTGGGAAAAAGCTGGGGAAAGGGTACATGGAAACTTCTTGTGAGTCAAACAGTTTTGAAATAAAATAATTTAAAATCCTATTTTAAAATCTCTTCAATGTTTGGCCATTGTACTAAGAATAAAATCTAACTTATTTTCCAAAGCATACAATGCTTAGCATGATGTAGCCCTTGCCTATCTCTTCTCTGACCTTATCCACTTACTAGTCTCCCCCTTCTACTATACACGAGCCGTTATTTTCCTGTCAATTCCTCAAGCATAGTAACTCCTCTCCCACCTCAGGGACTTTGTAACTGTTGTTCCTTCTGTCTAGAATTCCCTGATCACAGCTGTCTCATGAAAGATACATACTCTCCTCTGGATGGTGAGATTTTTTTCATTATTTGTTCAACAAATATTTATAAATGCAGGTTTGAGAGGCAAGCCTCAAGGCAGCAGTGTAGTTTTGAACATATTGGTTTGAAGTGCTTCTCAGACAACTGGAAGTCACGATTAATAATCTAATTAGATCCTCAGATCTAGAACTAGATATAAAATTTGGGATCTGGCTTACAATTTGATGAGTTGTACAGGAATTGGATGGTACTTGAAGCCATGAGTGAAATGAGATCACGTAGGAAGAGAATATACTCTGAGAAGAGAGGGGGCCTAAGGCCAGACCCTGGGAACCATTAATAGAGCAGGAGGGAGTGATAACATGGAAGCCAAGTAAGAATGTTTCAAACGGGAAGATTCATCCAATGTATCAAATGCTGCTAAAAAATCAGGTAAGATCAACTATGTTTATTAAATTTAACAACATGTACAGCCATATGTTGATACAACTAGAAAAATTATTGTTATTTTTAATAACAATACTATTATAATATTTTAAAATACTATTTAGTATATTTTAAAATACTATTAAAAATAATAATAATATAATAATAATGCTATTAAAAATAATAATACCAGGCATGGTGTCTCACACCTATAATCCCAGCACTTTGGAAGGCTGAGGCAGGAGGATTGCCTGAGCCCAGGAGTTCAAGACCAGTCTGGGCAACATAGCAAAACCCCATCTGTACAAAAAATACCAAAATTAGCTGGGCGTGGTGGCACACACTTGTCACAGCTATTCGGGAGGCTGAGGTTGGGCGATCGCTTGAGCCTGAAAGGCAGAGGTTGCAGTGAGCTGTGATTGAGCCACTGAGCTCCAGCCTGGGTGACACAGTAAGACCTTGTCTCAAATAATAATAATAATAATAATAATAATAACAATGCAAACATTAGCAGTAATATAATGAAACTTGTTCTGTCATAGATCACTAGTAATAACATAAATTGGTATAATTCTTTTAGAAATTATTTTGGCAATATGTATCAAGAGAGTTTTGTTTGTTTGTTTGTTTGTTTGTTTTTAGAGATGGGGTCTCACTCTTTTACCCAGGCTGGAGTGTAGTAGTGTGATTATAGCTCACTGTAGCCTCAAACTCCTGGGTTCACGTGATCCTCCTGCCTCAGCCTCCTGAGTAGCTGGGACTACAGGTGCGCACCACCGTGCCATGCTAAAAGGGTTTTGTTTTTTTTTTTCTTTTGGAGACGGAGTCTCTCTGTTGCCCAGGCTGGAGTGCAGTGGCACGATATCAACTCACTGCAACCTCCACCTCCTGAGTTCAAGTGATTCTCCTGCCTCAGCCTCCTGAGTAGCTGGGACTACAGGCGTGTGCTACCAGGCCCAGCTATTTTTTGTATTTTTAGTAGAGACAGAGTTTCACCATGTTGGCGAGGCTAGCCTCGAACTCTTGACTTCAGGTGATCCACCTACGTTGGCCTCCCGAAGTGCTGGGATTACAGGCATTGAGCCACTGCACCCAGCCTAAAAGAGTTTTTAAAGTGTTTATAACTTTTGACCCAGCAATCACACTTCCAAGAATCTTATCAAAAGAAATAGTCCTAACCATGGAAAAGACTGTGTCTCTGATGATGTTCCTAGCAATAATATTTACCAATAGTGAAAAAAATAAAACTACCAAAATGTCCAGTACAGGAGTGTTAAGCAAATGGTGATAATTCACTCAGTGAAAAATTATGCAGACATTGAAAATGATGTTTATAGACTGAACATGAATATAAAACAGTAACCTGTACTTGGTAAATCTGAAGAAAACACTAATGTGGTTTTTGCCTTTTTGATAATTTCTATGTGTTAGTTTTTTCCATATTTATAAAATTATCTTTAATGACCATGAATTACTTTCTTAATCAAAAAATATATATTTTTAAGCTTGTTTATATGATTATATTAACTTTTTCTTGATATTTTTCCTACAATCTTCTTATATGTATTATTTATTATATTTTACTTCCATCTTACTCTTTGCTACATTAAGAATGCTTCATTTACTCTTTCCTCAGCAGTTATACAAAAGGTAGTTGTATTTAAAATTCTGAATAGTGAATATGATTTTCAGAAACAAAATTAAAATATCTATTATTTATTATTTATTAG